>NT_167245.2:1831615-2111710 GCF_000001405.40 Homo sapiens | reverse complement strand
GGCCATAAGTCCAGCAAAAATTTGGGAGTCTTACTAATCAGGAAGAAGAGGAGAATGAATATTTGGTGATAACTGCAATTTCTGCCACAAAGCGCAAAGTGGGAAATCAGAGGTCACCACACACCTCAATTCCCATTGAGGGTGGCTGGTCTGTAAATAGCATAAAGTACGGGAAGAAATCTCAAATTTAAATAAAGTTTAAAGTTTCTACTATTACATGAGATTGGACCATTTAATTACTTATTAAACTCCTTGGGGAATTGGAGTAACCCAATGACCTTAGATTACCTACAAATGACTAGAAAGTTCATGGGGCTTGCTCCAAATTTCATCTTGGGGCAAAAGGAGAAGAAATCCCACAAAATGGATGTAAAGGGACACGGTGAAGTGAAAATAAAGTTGCTTCCTGATCCCCCTTTCTTTAGTTAGATTAGGCTAGGCTGTGATAACAAAAAAACAAAATTTCAATAACTGGCTGGTTGGGACTCTATACCCAATCAGTGGTTTTGTCGGAGATGTTTGAATCAGAGCAACTCCATCTTAAATAGGGGCTGGGTAAAATGAGGCTGAGACCTGCTGGGCTGCATTCCCAGGAGGTTGGGAATTCTTAGTCACAGGATGATATAGGAGGTCAGCACAAGATACAGGCCACAAAGACCTCGCTGATAAAATAGGATGCAGTAAAGAAGCCGGCCCAAACCAAGATGGTGACAAAAGTGACTTTTGGTCATCCTCACTGCCCATTACATGCTAATTATAATGCATTAGCATGCCAAAAGTCACCCCCCACCAGCACCAAGATAGTTTATAAATGTCATGGCAATGTCCCAGAGTTACCCTATATGATCTAAAAGGAAGAAGAACCCACAGTTCCAGGAAATCTCCATCCCTTTCCCAGAAAATTCATGGATACCCCACCCCTTGTTTAGCATATGATTAAGAAATAATTGGCTAGGCGCTGTGGCTCATGCCTGTAGTCCCAGCACTTTGGGAGGCCAAGGCAGGCAGATCACTTCAGGTCAGGAGTTGGAGACCAGCCTGACCAACATGGTGAAGCCCCATCTCTACTAAAAATACAAAATTAGCTGGGAGTGGTGCATGCCTGTAAACCCAGCTACTCAGGAGGCTGAGGCAGGAGAATCGCTTAAACCCAGGAGGCAGAGGTTGCAATAAGCTGAGATCGCGCCATTGCACTCCAAGAGCAAAACTGTGTCTCAAAAAAAAAAAAAAAAGGAAAAGAAAGAAAGAATCATAAAAATAGCCAACTAGCAGCCCTCAGAGCCACTCCACCTATGAGGTAACCACTCTTTTATTCCTTTATTTCTTAATAAACTTGCTTTCACTTTACTCTGTGGACTCGCCCCAAATTCTTTCTTGCACAATGTCTAAGAACCCTCTCTTGAGAAGTGACTGGATCAGGATCCCTTTCCAGTAATGATTTGTGCACCCAAACTTTGGTTTCCTTAACTTGTGGGCCCACAGATGGTCAGCCCTCAGACTCTTGTCTCTTCTTATTGCAGGTTATACCTGTGACCTGGGCCCAGAGCTGTGGGCACAGCTCTGGAACAGCATCTGCAGGCTTTCTACCACTTGGCTATTCTTTATTTTTTTATTTTTATTTTTTTTGAGAGGGAGTCTTGCTCTGTCACTCAGGCTGGAGTGCAGTGGCGCAATCTCAGCTCACTGCAGGCTCCGCCCCCTGGGGTTCACGCCATTCTCCTGCCTCAGCCTCCCGAGTAGCTGGGACTACAGGCGCCTGCCACCTTGCCCGGCTAATTTTTTGTATTTTTAGTAGAGACGGGGTTTCACCATGTTAGCCAGGATGGTCTCGATCTCCTGACCTCGTGATCCGCCCACCTCGGCCTCCCAAAGTGCTGGGATTACAGGCATGAGCCACCGCACCCGGCCTTGGCTATTCTTTAAAAAAAAAAATTATTGAGACATAATTGCACAGATTTAAAGTGTGCACTTTGATCAGTTTTGTCGTATTTGTATACTATGAAACTGTCACCACAATCAAGATAGTGAACACATCCATACCTCTCAAAAGTTTTCTCATGCCCGTTATACTTCCTTCCCTCCTGCCATGCCCATTCTCAAACACTCACTGATCTGCTTTCTGTCACTGTAGATTATTTGCTTCTCCTAGAGTTTTATATAAATGAAATCATATAGTATGTATTCTTCTTTTTTTTTTTTTTTTCTGGTTTCTTTCACTCTGGCCATTCACTTCCAAGAGATAATGTATTAGTCCATTTTCATACTGCTATGAAGAAATACCCAAGACTGGGTAATTTATAATTCTGAGCTGGGCGCGTGGCTCATGCCTGTAATCCCAGCACTTTGGGAGGCTGAGGCAGGCGGATCACCTGAGGTCAGAATTTCAAGACCAGCCTGGCCAACATGGTGAAACCTCGTCTCCACTAAAAATACAAAAATTAGCCAGCTGTGATGACACATACCTGTAATCCCAGCTACTCAGGAGGCTAAGGCAGGAGAATCACTTGAACCCAGGAGATGGAGGTTGCAGTGAGCCGAGATCATGCCACTGCACTCCAGCCTGGGTGACAGAGTGAGACTCGAAAGAAAAGAAAAGAAAAGAAAAGAAAAGAAAAGAAAAGAAAAGAAAGAAGGAAAGGAAGGAAGGAAGGGAAGGAAGGAAGAGAGATTTAATGGATTCACAGTTCCACATGGCTGTGGAGGCCTCATAATCATGGTGGAAAGTGAAGGAGGAGCAAAAGCATGTTGTACATGGCAGCAGGCAAGAGCATGCTCAGGGGAACAGCCCTTTATAAAACCATCAGATCTCATAAGACTTATTCACTATCATGACAATAGCATGGGAAAAACCCGCCACCCATGATTCAGTTACCTGCCACCAAGTCCCTCCCATGACACATGGGGATTATGGGAACTACAATTCAAGATGATATTTGGGTGGAGACACAGCCAAACCATATCATTCCTCCCCTGGCCCCTCCCAAATTTCATGTCTTCACAATTCAACACACAATCATGCCTTTCAACAGTCCACCAAAGTCTTAACTCATTTCAGCATTAACTCAAAAGTCCAACTCCAAAGTATCATCTGAGACAAGGCAAGTCCCTCTTCCTATGAGCCTGTAAATCAAAAGCAAGTTAGTTACTTCCTAGATACAATGGGGGTACAGGCATTGGGTAAATACACCCATTCCAATGGGATACATTGGCCAAAATAAAGGTGCCACAAGCCCCATACAAGTCTGAAATACAGTAGGGCAGTCATTAAACCTTAACGTTCCAAAATGCTCCCCCTTTGACTCCATGTCTCACATCCAGGTCATGCTGATGTGAGAGATGGGCTCCCACAGCATTGGGTAGTTCTGCCTCTGTGGCTTTGCAGGGTACAGCCCCCCTTCCAGCTGCTTTCATGGGCTAGTGTTGAGTGTCTCCAGCTTTTCCAGGTGCATGGTGTAAGCTGTTGGTGGATCTACCATTCTGGGGTTTGGAGGATGGTGGCCCTCTTCTCACAGCTCCACCAGGCAATGCCCCGGTGGGGAACTCTGTGTAGGGGCTCTGACCCCACATTTCCCTTCTGCACTGCCCTAGCAGAGGTTCTCCATAAGGGCTCCACCCCTGCAGCAAACTTCTGCCTAGACATCTAGGCATTTACATACATGCTCTGAAACCTAGGCAGAGGTTCTCAAACCTCAATTCTTGACTTCTGTGCACCCACAGGCCCAGCACATTTGTAAGCTATCAAGGCTTGGGGCTTGGAACCTCTGAAGCAATGGCCTGAGCTGTAGGTTGGCCCTTTTTAGCCACAGCTGGAGCTAAAGTAGCTGGGATGTAGGGCACCATGTCCCCAGGCTGCATAGAGCAGGGGTCCCTTAGCCCAGCCCACAAACCCTTTTTCCCTCCTAGGCCTCCAGGCCTGTGATGGGAGGGGCTGCTATGAAGTTCTCTAATATTCCCTGGAGACATTTTCCCCATTGTCTTAGTGATTAACATTCCACTCCTCTTTACTTATGCAAATTTCTGCAGCAAACTTGAATTTCTCCCTAGAAAATGGGTTTTTCTTTTCTATCGCATCATCAGACTGCAAATTTTCCAAACTTTTATGCTCTACTTCCACTTGAACAGCTTTACCACTTAGAAATTTCTTCTGCCAGATACCCTAAGTCATTTCTTTCAGTTCAAAGTTCCACAGATCTCTAGGGCAGGGGCAAAATACCGCCAGTCTCTTTGCATAGGAAGAGTGACCTTTACTCCAGGTCCCAACAAGTTCCTTATCTCCATCTGAGACCACCTTAGCCTGGACAAATATTGTCCATATCACTGTCAGCATTTTGGTCAAAGCCATTCAACAAGTCTCTAGGAAGTTCCAAAGTTTCCCACATTTTCCTGTCTTCTGAGCCCTCCAAGTCTTGAGGAAGTTCCAAACTTTCCCACATTTTTGTGTCTTCTTCTGAGCCCTCTAAACTTCTAACCTCTGCCTGTTACCCATTTCCACATTTTCAGGTATCTTTATAGCAGTACCCCACTTTACTGGTACCAATTTACTGTATTAATCCATTTTCTTTTTTTATTTTTATTTTTGAGACAGTCTTGCTCTGTCACCCAGGCTGGAGTACGGTGGCACAATCTCGGTTCACTGCACCCTCCACCTCCCAGGTTCAAGCAATTCTCCTTCCTCAGCCTTCTAAGTAGCTGGGATTATAGGCGCCAACCGCCATGCATGGCTAATTTTTTTTGTTTGTTTGTTTAGTAGAGATGGGGTTTCACCATATTGACCACCAGGCTGATCTTGAACTCCTGGCCTCAAATGATTCACCTGCCTCGGCCTCTCAAAGTGCTAGGATTACAGGCATGAGCCACTGCACCCAGCCGTATTAGTCCGTTTTCATACTGCTATGAATAAATACCTGACACTGGGTAATTTATAAAGAAAAAGAGGTTTAATGCATTCACAGTTCCACATGGCTGAGGAGGCCCTCAAAATCATGGTGGAAGATGAAGGAGGAGCAAAGGCATGTCTTACATGGCAGCAGGCAAGAGCGTGTGCAGAACTACCTTTATAAAACCATGAGATCTCATGAGACTTATTCACTATCACAAGAAGAATAGCATGGGAAAAACCTGCCCCTCATGATTCAGTTACCTCCCACCAGGTCCCTCTCATGACACGTGGGGATTAAGGGAACTACAATTCAAGATGAGATTTGGGTGGAGACCCAGCTAAACCATATCAGACACCATTCTAATGGAAAACAGCTCAGCTGAAAGAATCCTGCCAAGAACTCATGCTACCTGTCTGTGCAGCAATTCAGAGTCATGAATTCTTGTTAAGCTATGTGATTTTTCTACGAGGATGCCAAGTTTACTTTCTGATTAATGGACCTCTCTTAATCAGAAACAAGCACAATTTACACTCATAATTTTTTGCCAAAATATATAACCTTAAACATCACCTCTCTCCCCTGCTTGTCAGTTCTCATCAATTAATCTGGTCTGAAGAAGAAAAAAAAACTCAGTTAAGGGAAACCAAGTGCACAGAGGATTTCTTGAAGAATATATTTTGCAGATTATGCAATTACAGACATTTGCAGCACTGTGAATTTGGACTGTTTGTTTTAACCCTTCACAGAATCTCTTACAGTGAATTGTGCTTTGGCAGTCGGCTCTCAGCTTGCAGGGACTCAATAAGAATGGGATGTAATGCAAAATAATTTATGGATGATATGGCACAATGTGTAGAATTTGCTTTAAAAGATCTCCAGCTGAAAAAGTGGTAGGAGTAGATTAAGTGAGTATGGTCAACTTTTGACAGTTTTTAAAACTTTGTGATGGATACAGCAAGACTCATTATATACTCACGGCTTCTGTGTATGTTTGAAATTGTCATCATAAGCAGAGTTTTTTAAAAGAGGCATAAGAAGTTCACCATTGTCTTTACTATAGGGATATTGTTAAAGATTTATTTTATTCATTACTTTGCAAACCAGTATACTTTTGACAAGAAATTAAGAATGATCTTAAAACTTAAATAATACTTATCTTAGTCCTGCCTAGTACAAAGTAAGCATGTAATAAGCAACAGTTATTGTTTATTGTGTAATGATCTCATCAGAATTCATTTGTGGGTATTAGTAGCCTGACCTCCTTGGAACTTGGAGGTTTCCTTTGATATTGGACAAAGTACAAAGAAAACAGTATCTTCTGTAAGGTTAGTTGTAAGAGGTTTTCTGGTAGCATACTGAATATAGGAAGAATTTCTGAAAGAACCTTTAAGAACTCTAGTGTCTCAATCCAGAAGGTAAAAATTTAATATGAAGTATTAAAAAAAAATGCACCATGACTAACCAGGAGTACAAAGATAGCTCTATGTTTTAAAATATATTCAAATGTATCATATTCAAATATATTCAAATTTTAAAGATAGTTTTATATTTTAAAATATATTCAAATTTATCATCTCTGTAGGCCAAAGAAAATAAGCCATATTATCACCTTGATTATGATAAATGGTTCAACTGGCTAACATTTGAAAAACAATAATAATTAGAATTATCTCTCTATACTCAAAATCAATTCCATATGAATATAAATGTGGAAATTTTTTAAAGTGCCAAATGAAAACAAGGGATGAGATTAGGGAGGAAGAAAACTACTCTGTGCTTCCTGGCTTCATCTTTGATCCTGTTCCATCCTCAGAGATTGCAGAGTAAGTAAACTGTGACAGCTCTCTCACTTTTGCATCTTGACATATTCCCCAACCTCTCTCATCTACTTGAATGCCGATTCCTTTATTGCATTCTAGGCTTTATTACATCAATTTTTCAATTCCTGCAATAACTAGATTCCATAATAAGAAAAGACTGTACTTGGCTGATTTCTTTCATAATGTACCTATTAATATTTAAGTGTGAATTCCTTAAAGCTCTTGTGATAGGCTTCTCAAGGCATGGCAACATTCCTCACCTCTCTTCTGCTGTATCATATTATATTACTGTGTCTCTGTGATAACAATAAAGAATTTGACTGCCCTTTGTCCCTGGTTCCTAGGAGGGAAACTAAATCCTTGGAATCTCCTGAGTAATATGAGTATCTTTGTTATTCATGAGCCCCTTGGATCACACCTGGGCTTATGCTAAGAGAGAACTCACGATGGGAGGTTGGTCATCAGAAAGATCACATAATAAAAGGATTGGGCCTTAGAGCCAGCCCAACCTCGACGGAGGGTGGGAGGACTAGAGATTGCGTTCAATTCGGTGGCAAATGAGTCAACCAATTGTGCCTATGTAATGAAAACTCTGGACGCCAAAATTTGGTGGAGCTTCCTGGTTGGTGAACACATCCATGTGCCAGGAGGGTGACACAACCTGATTCACAGAGAGAAGACACAGAAGCTCTGCATGGAAGACCCGCCCGGACCCCGCCCTACGTGTGTCTTCATTAGTCTGGTCCTCCTGATTTGTATCCTTTGTAACAAGCCTGTAATCGTAAGTATAACATTCTCCTGAGTTTGGTGAGTTGTTCTAGCAAATTATCAAACCCGAGGGGGTTGTGGGTACCCCCCAGATTAGTAGCCAGTTGGTCAGAGGAGCGAGTAGCCTGGGGACCTCCACACTTGTGGCTGGCGGCGGAAGTGAGGGCAATCTCATTGGGGCTGAAACCTGTAGTTAGTGTTGTGCTGCACTATTCCAGTCCCTTATCCACCTACATTCCTGTCATTTCCTTGTCGGGGCCTTGCTGTGATGTCTCCATTTGGGTGATTTCATAAAGGTTAGAGATGAGGGAGGGCAGATTTACCTGGAGAACAAATTCCTAGGCCTTTTGATACTTTTTTTTTTTTTGAGACAAGGTCTCGCTCTGTTACCCAGGCTGAAGTGCAGTGGTGCAATCCAGGCTCACTGCAACCTTGCCTCCCAACCCCCACCCCCACACTCTGGGCTCAAGCGATCCTTCCACATTAGCCTCCAGGGTAATTGGGACCACACGTGCGCACCAGCACGCCCAGTTTTGTTTTTGGTTTTTTTTTTTTTTTTTTTTGTATTTTCAGTAGTGAAAGGGTTGCCCAGGCTGGTCTCAAACTCCTGAGCTCAAGCAATCTGCCCCCCTCAGCCTCCCCAAAGTGCTAGTATTACAGGCATGAGCCATCGCGCCCAGCCAATATACATTCTTAACAATTTTTTACTTACCAATTCTCTGTTCTGGCTTTGTATCTCTGATTTTACTAGATTATCCCTGTTTTGGCAAACACTAACAATATTTATATAAGTTTAGCCTATATGCCTTAAAGACGTTTTCTCCTACTTCCAGAACTTTCTCAGTTGTGTGTGTGAGTACGCCTGGCTTTTCATCAAAGAGCTTTGCCGTCTTGATGCTTCCTTTTCTGTGAACACAGCAATAAATAGATTCTGCAGAACAAATGAGTGAGTAACTTTTTTTTTTTTTTTTTTTTTGAGACAGAGTCTCGCTCTGTCACCCAGGCTGGAGTGCAGTGGAGCTATCTTGGCTCACTGCAGCCTCTGCCTCCTGAGTTTAAGTAACTATTGTACAATAGTGATCACTGCCACAAAGTCAAGTATACATTGTTTATAATCTCTGAATTGAAGTACAAATTTTACTTTCTCTTTTTTTTTTTCCTTTGGAGATGGAGTCTCCCTCTGTCACCCAGGCTAGAGTGCAGTGGCAGGATCTCAACTCACTGCAACCTCCGCCTCCTGGGTTCAAGTGATTCTCCTGCCTCAGCCTCCCGAGTATCTGGGATTACAGGCACGTGCTACCATGCCCGGCTAATTTTTTGTATTTTTAGTGGAGACGGGGTTTCACCATGTTGGGCAGGCTTGTCTCGAACTCCTGATCTCAGGTGATCCTCCTGCCTTGACCTCCCAAAGTGCTGGGATTACAGGCATGAGCCACCACACCTGGCCTTTTTTTTTTTTTTTTTAATAGAAATGGGCTTCCCCACCTACCCCCACCTGGCATGGTGGCTCATGCCTGTAATCCCAGCACTTTAGGAGGCTGAGGGGGGTGAATCACCTGAGGTCAGGAGTTCGAGACCAGCCTGGCCAACATGGTAAAACCCCATCTCCACTAAAAATACAAAAACTTAGCCGGGCATGGTGGCACGTGCCTGTAATCCCAGCTACTCAAGAGGCTGAGGCAGGAGAATCACTTGAACCCAGGAGGCGGAGGTTGCAGTGAGCTGAGACCGCGCAATTGCACTCCAGCCTGGGCAACAAGAGCAAAACTCCATCTCAAAAAAAAAAGAAAAGAAAAGAAAAGACAAAAAAAGAAATGGGTTCTCACTATGTTGCCTAGGCTGCTCTGGAAATCCCAGGTTCAAACAATCCTCCCTCCTTGGCCTTCCAAAGTGCTATGATTACATGTGTGACCCACCATGCCCAGCTCTAAATATCTTTAATTGTAAGTGTGTAGCATTCCATACAATCCAAGCACAGTTTTATATAATGGGTTGAGCTAGATCAACAAGGTTATAGATGGCTGGTTCATGATCACCAGGTTGGTGGGTAAAATCAGCCATTAATCTCCTATGAAAGGCCAGGTACAGTGGTTCATGCTTGTAATTCCAGCACTTTGGGAGGCCAAGGCAGGTGGATTGCTTGAGCTCAGGAGCTCAAGACCAGCCTGGCCAACATGGTGAGACCCCTCTCTACTAAAATACAAAAAACTAGCCGGGCTTGGTGGTGGGTGCCTGTAGTCCCAGCTATGTGGGTGGCTATGGCAAGAGAATTGCTTGAACCCGAGAGGCGGAGGTTGCAGTGAGCCGAGATGTTGCCACACTGCACTCCAACCTAGGCTACAGTGAGGTAGGAGTTATTAAGAAATTATTTTAGGCAGATAGAGAGGAAAAAGGTCCATGGAAAATTTTTCACAGCTCTTGTCTAGCATGAAAGCCCTGGCTCTTAGACTTGGGCCAGCAACCTTTGATATGCAAACGCTAGCTGTTAGAAACTGGGTCCACCCAACAAGGCTATTCCCACCTTTGTCCTCTTGCCCTTGCCCCTACATGTGCCTGGCAGCATGGCCGCCCCCACATATCCCCACGTGTGTGGAACATGACACAGCCCTACATTTGCATATTAAAAGGCTAGGGTGGGAGGGCCAGCTTTTTCGCCGGCTACATGAATGACATGCCTGGTCAAACCAATCCCCTGAGTCCTATGCAGATCAGATACTGCCTCCTCCACCCATCGAATATAGCTGGCTGGTATTACCTAAGTGCGGGGTTCCATCTCTCGGCTTTGGAGCCCCCCTCCCTCTGTCTCTGTACAAGGGAGTTTCTTCTTTCTTTCTTCTCCCTTCTTTCTTGCCTATTAAACTCTCCGCTCCTTAAAACCACTCCACGTGTGTTCGTGTCATCTTATCTAATTCGATGTGAGACAAGAGCCCTGGTGTTCCTCCACTCATCAGAGCCATATCAACAGAGGGTGACTGTCTCAAAAAAAAAAAAAAAAAAACTCCTCTGAAAAACAGAATTTAAAACTTTAAGTGGGCAAACATCATTTTTATTTTTTTAAAAAGTCAACAAATTCTTATAACCAACATTCATGGTCTCAAGTAACAAGTTGACAGTTTGAGCATCAGCTGCAGAAGATAAAAAAAAAAATTGAGGTATTTGCAAGAAGCTCTTGCTAGAAGGAATAAGAGGGGCTGAGCATTGAAGCCTGGGCCAGGTGAGCTGTCTTCCTTGCCTCCCCACGTTCCACACCCCAGACACCACTGATGGGGAGCTTAGGAGATGAGGGGTGGAAGGAGGAGGTGAGGCTGGGTTTCCTCCAGCTCAGGGATGTTGTCTTGAATGTCCTCATTGAAGGATAAGGAGGAAAGTGATGTCCCTACCAAGGCTGACAGGCTAAGGAATGGGAAAGCATCTTTGGAGGTCCCCAGGCCGACTACTGAATATCCTGCCCCAGGTGTCCAAGCTCCACAGTGTGGCTGGTGGGTGTGCCCTTGGCACCACTTTCCCCATGTGCTGAGTCTTCTGGGAAGCAGGCAGCACAAATGTGAGGACACGCTAGTGCCTCGGGGACCCTTCACTAAGACCGGCAGCTACCCCTTCCCCAACCCTTTTGCCCCTCTCTTTCAGAGATGGAGCCCATCCAGAACCCAGCTGTGCTGCTGCAAGGTACATTCTGTCTCCCTCTCTCTTTCTCTCTTTCCAGCACACCAAATTCCCTACATTCCAGGGAGGGAGTTATCTCAGTCTCCAACTGCCCCAGAGTGGTGAGCAGCATTCCACACACTCCAAGCATATAAGGAAGAAGTGCAGTAGGCTGGGGACTGGCAGAAGGAGCTCCCTGGGCAGAAGAGCCAGGAAGGTAGCTGGGTAGGAAGTAACCTGCATGGGCCCAGCCCAAGGCACTAGAAAATCAGCCTTCCCCAAATAATCACAGAGGCTTCCAAACGTGCCCCACCCCTTCAAGCTCCCTTCCCAGGGCTCTGCTGCTCCCTCTCACTTTCTCTTGCTCTTTTTCCTTCCCACTCTAAGTGTCCTACTTCCATCTTCTTCCCATCTCTTTGTCTCTTTCTTCCCTCTCGGGCCCACCTTTGGCTTTTCTAGGCTTTGATAAAGAGTTTCCTGAGGCTCACCACCGGCAGCTGAATTCTGGTCTCCTCTTCCTGCCTCTGCTTGCCTCCGTGGACTCCTAGACATGCTCCTTGAGCTTGTGGGCAGGCATCTCAGCACAGCTGTGGGATCTGGGGCTCAGAGACCCCCAACTAGCCTGTGCCTAGAATCATATTTCAATAGAATGATTTCTTTTGAATCTTATTGATGCAGAACTTTGTTCCTTAAACCCTAAAACCAGGTTCTTGTCACACAAGCAGGAAAAGCTAGGAACGCAGACGCATTGAAGGGTGAGGGGAACAGAATTTATTGGGTGAAAAAGGAAAAGAAGAAAAAAAAATCTCTCAGCAAAGCAAGAAGAGTTCCTGCCAACAGCACCCCCACCCCCAGACTGATTCCAGGCTACACACAAGAACTGAAGAGGCCAGGCTCCTCCCCAACTGCACATGGCACGAACTTCCCGTGGCTCCACCCCCTTCTCCCAAGTGCATAGGCAGGTCAGAGATTCTCTGGGGACCCTTTCCCTTATCTACCTCCTGCATCTATCAATATGGTGAAACCCTGTCTCCAAGAAAATTGTGAAAGTTAACTGGGCCTGGTGGTGCACGGATGTGGTCCCAGCTACTTGAAAGGCTGAGGTTGGAGAATCACCTGAGCCCGGGAGGTCGAGGCTGCAGTGAGCTGTGATTGCACCACTGCACTCCAGCCTGGGTGACAGAGTGAGACCGTGTCTCAAAAATAAATTTAAAAATAAAATAAAAATAAAGAGTTGCAGCCTACAATGTACCATTCGGACTAGTGGGAAGCATAGCCTCTGGCAGAGCCTAGAGAATGAACTTTGAGGGACGAGGAGGAATAAGAAAGGAATTTAATCTGACTGGGTTGGCCAAGTATACATATTCAACAGGTTACAGAAGGAGCTATGAATATTCATGAAAGTGGTCCTGAAGCACATATACTGAATAAACTAGTATATTGCATATGACCCATGTGCACCTTAGGGTGGAGACTTAGCATTTAAATGTATTACAGCTGGCCAGGCGCGGTGGCTTACACCTGTAATCCCAGCACTTTGGGAGGCTGAGGCAGATGGATCATGAGGTCAGGAGATCGAGGCCATCCTGGCTAACAGGGTGAAACCCCGTCTCTACTAAAAATACAAAAAAAATTAGCCGGGCATGGTAGCGGGTGCCTGTAGTCCCAGCTACTCGGGAGGCTGAGGCAAGAGAATGGCATGAACCTGGGAGGCAGAGCTTGCAGTGAGCCGAGATCGCACCACTGCACTCCAGCCTAAGCGATAGTGAGACTCCGTCTCAAAAAAAAAAAAAATTAATTAAAAAAAAATAAATGTATTACAATTAGGTCTTATACATCAAAAGGTCTTTTCAGGACACAAGCAAACTCAAGTATGCAGCATCTGTAAACCAGCCAGAACCAGTCCATGGTCAGTAGTCTTCTTATCAGGAGAAGGTTACTGAAATCAGTCTCGTGTTCAACCCAAGCTGTAGTTTTGGCTGATGGACGATCTGCAAGTTGTTTTAATCTTGCTTATCTCAAGGCCAATGTTTGTTTGGCTGCTAGAGAAAAATTAAAACCTTGTGGCAGAACACTTTTTCTTTAAGTGCAGGGGTGTGTGACTTAACCCTGACCTGCCATGGCCTTAAGTCTTGTTTATAGTTTGGTCTTTCATTGGCTCAAATACTTTGTTCTGTCAGTCTTATGATCTCTGGTTTATTAATGCTGGTCAGTGGTTGTCTAAACCACAAAAGGGATGAGGTATGACGAGGTGTGTCTGACCTCCCATCCTCTCCTGCCTGGGAACTCAGTTTTTAAGGTTTCTCTGGGGTCCCCTTGGCCAAGAGGGGGTCCATTAAGTCAACTGGGGGGCTTAGGATTTTATTTTCAGTTTACAAAATTATCTCACTATAGTCTCTCAAAAGGAGTCTGTGTTCTTCCCTGAAAGAAAGCTGACATCCCCTGCTGCTGGGGGTTAAGGGTGGCAGGGTCACACATAAACCAGGTGTCAGAAGGGCTGTGGGCAGAGGCCGGAGCAGCCTGATTAAGGTGGGAAACCCCAGGGTTGTTCTTGATAATGAACTGAGGTGGAAAGGGAGAAAGGCAGTTGTTTTGTGAATCCACTGGAGACACTGAGCAGCGGACAGAAAGCAGATGTCAGGGAGTGGGAACCGGGGAGCTGAGTGGGTCCATCCTAAAAGGGGCAGCTCTGAGGCGTTCCTAACCTTTTAGTGCTGCAGGCCTTGTAGCCAAACTTTGTGCCCTACCCACTTGTCCTCTAAGGTTGCCATTCAGATGGCTCCGTCTTTAAGCCTCTGACACTGTTGAGGACTTACCCTAGTCACAGGAGCACTACCCATGGGTAGGGCAGGCTAGAAATGTCAGTGCCCTGGGGGCAGCCCTCAAGTGAAATGGGATTTGGTGAAGAAATACCCCAGCTTCCTCAAGGGTAGGATGACTCCGAGGCATGCTCTATACAGTAGTCTCTTGAAGGTCCCAGTGGGATTGAGCCAAGGAGTTCATTAAGTTCATTGCTCATCGATGCACCCCATGCTGGCTTCTGCCCTTTCCTGTCTACTTTATCAATTATGCCAGGGATTTCCTCTCTAATAACCTCCTTGCTTCAAATCTTTGTCTCCAGATCTGCTTCTGAAGGAAACTAACCTAAAACAGACCCCTTTGGCAATTTGTGAAAGCTGCTGTACTTCTGAGAATAATGGTGGGGTTTTGTTTTTTGTTTGTTTGTTTTGAGACAAGGTTTTGCTGTGTTGCCCAGGATGGAGTGCATTGTCATGATCATAGCTCACTGCAGCCTCCACCTCCTGAGTTCAAGAGATCCTGCTGCCTCAGCTTCCTGAGTAGCTGGGACTACAGGTGCAGGTCACCACACCCGGCAGAATAGTGTTTTAAATGTATAAAATAAAATAGATAATGATAGATGCAGGAGACAGATAAAGGGGAGGGTCCCTGGAGAATCACCTGCCTGCATACTGGGAAAATGGGGTGGAGCCACGGGAAGTTCGTGCCGAGTGTGCAGTGGTCGGGGAGGAGCCTGGCCTCTTCAGCTACTGTGTGTGGCCTGGAATCAATCTGTGGAGTGGGGACCTGTTGGCAGGAACCCCCCTTGCTCTTTGCTGAGAGGTTTTTCTTTTCTTCTTTTCCTTTTTCACCCAAAAAATTCCATTCCCCTCACCCTTCAAAGTGTCTGCCTGCTTAACTTTTCCTGGTCATGTGACAAGAACCCGGTTTTAGCTGAACTGAGGAGCAAAGTTCTGCATCAGTATTGCCAGGCTGGTCTCGAACTCCTGGGTTCAAACGATCCACCCACCTCAGCCTCCCAAAGTGCTGGGACTGCAGATGTGAGCCACAATGCCCAGTCAGCAGTAACTCTTTAAAAGAAATAAAGCTCTCCTTTCCAAATTTATGATTTTTCTTTTCTTTTTTTTTTTTTTTAAGAGACAGGGTCTCACTCTGTTGCCCTGGCTGGAGTAAATAGCTCCCTGCAGCCTCAAACTACTGGGATCCACTTCAGCCTCCTGAGTAGGTAGGACTACAGGCGTGTGCCAGCACACCTAGCTAATTTTTATTTATTTATTTATTTATTGGTAAAGAAAGGGCCTCACTATGTTGCCCAGGCTGGTCTCGAACTCTTACCCTCAAGCAGTCCTCCCACCTCCACCTACCAAAGTGCAGGGATCACAGGCAAGAGCCACTGTCTGCCCAGCCTAAAGTTGTGATTTTTAAGTTAACATATCATTGTCAAATTAATTTGTGTTTTCTGTTTTTTCCTCACCTAACCCTGCCTCCCTCCCACTCTTCGCACCACCCTGCACTTCCAAGCCAGGAGAAAGGACTTTGTGCTCCTTCACCTCAGAAACCTGAACTCAGAATTTCCTTGTAGACACTTTTCAGGCCTTTGTTTGCTGGAGACTGGAGTTCCCTGAGAGGATTAAGGGTGTGGTGGGGAGTGTCTAAAGGAGCCCAGTGCCTTGAGGGCAGCCAAGAAGACAGAGGCCCTGGACTGGATACCGGCTGAGGTAGGTGGATCCCTGTGGGGTGGAGACCATCCCCAGCTCCACAGCCCCAGGCATGTCAAGGGCTATCATCAAGGCCTCAGAGGAGACCAGCTGCCTGGGGCACCTCAGGAAGCTATACCCTGACACCTGGACTCCAGAGTCCACAAATATATCTGTACCCAAACCAGTGGGCAAGCAAAGAAGCCCTTGCCTTTGGGAGACCTCAGGATGTTGGCCATGAGAACATCATGGATGGGCGCGGTGGCTCGCTCCTGTAATCCCAGCACTTTGGGAGGCCAAGGCGGGTGGATCACCTGAGGTTAGGAGTTCGAGACCAGCCTGGCCAACATGGTAAAACCCTGTCTCTACTAAAAATACAGAAATTAGCCAGGCACAGTGGCAGGTGCCTGTAATCCCAGCTACTCGGGCGGCTGAGGCAGGAGAATCGCTTGAACCTGGGAGGCAGAGGTTGCAGTGAGCCAAGATCATATCACTGTGCTCCAGCTTGGGCAACAAGACAGAAACTCCATCTCAAAAAAAAAAAAAAGAAAAGAAATCATGGACTCCAAAAGGCCTGAAGTGGAGAGTCCTGAAGCCATCTCAGACCATGAGGCCACCCTAAGGGTAGAAGGAAGCACACTAAGATGACAGGAACAGAAGACAGGAGCCTGGGTCCATCATGCCAGGGAGCCTCCACACCTGCCCTGGACGTTTCATCTCAGACCTCGTGGATAAAGCAGAGAAATAAATATCTACCTTGTTTAAGCCACTTATTTTCAATTTTTTGTTTCAAGCAGGCTTTTCATGAAGTTCCCAGTCTGACAGCATTAATTGGTGGGCTAGAATTTGTGGACGGTTTCCATGTATGTATTCTGCAAAACCATCCATAAGAAAGAGTTGAACAAGTCTTGGGACTAGCTAGAGAAGTGGGCAAAAAAAGAGAGGAAGTGGCCGAGTGCGGTGGCTCACGCCTGTAATCCCAGCACTTTGGGATGCTCAGGCAGGCAGATCACGAGATCAAGAGATTGAGACCATCCTGGCCAACATGGTGAAACCCCGTCTCTACTGAAAATACAAAAATTAGCTGGGCGTGATGCCATGCGCCTGTAGTCCGAGCTACTCGGGAGGCGGAGGCAGGAGAATCACTTGAACCCTGGAGGCAGAGGTTGCAGTGTGTCAAGATCATGCCACCGCTCTCCAGCCTAGTAACAGAGTGAGAATTCCGTCTCAAAAAAAAAAAAAAAAAAAAAGAGAGAGAGGAAGTAGCCTCTCCACTGCCCCTGCCATGCCTAGAAGGTTCCCCAGCATAAGAAGAGATCATTTGCATCTCAAACAGCACAATAGGCAGCCTGCTGGGTGGCCGGGGAAACTGTCCAAGACAGGACCGTACCAGAGGCCTTTTCTTGTCCTTTGAATATTTCAACTTCTGTGCAGGAAGGCTTGGGCTTTCCCAGGACAAAATAATTTTTAACATTTTATTTGTCTTATTAAATATTAAATAAATATATTTGTAAAAGATACAGACATGAATAACAATGATACAAAGAATGACAAAGTGACCTTTTAAATTTGAGACCAATTCCATCTAAAACAATCCAAGCCACCTGTAGCTGTTGGTTTGATTGCAATAACCAATACTGGACCATGGTTACTTAACCTATCAACCCAAGAAGAAATCTTTCATAACTGTGATGATCACGAAGGAAATATAAACATGGCTAACCTGTGTCATGAAAAATGGAAGCTAATTAAGGTATCTGAAATGAGTGAGGAGACTGAGGATGTTCTGAAGGAAATGCAGGAAGGAGAATTAGCCTAAGTGCATCCATGTTGAACTTATACATAAATCTTTCCTTGGTTGGCAAGAGTCCAGAATATGATATCACAGTGTGTGAAGGAGGCTGAGAGGAAACAGACTGTCCCATGCATTGCTGGCAGCAGTGCAGATGGCACAGTTCTGTGGAGCAGACCTGCAATATCTACCAGAACTATACATGCACAAACCCTTTGACCCAGAGATCCCCCTTCTGGGAATCTATCTTATAGATTCACCTACACAAAGGTAAACTTGCTTAGGTATAAGGTTATTCATTGTGGCATTATTTATAATAACAACGGATCAGAAACAGCCCAACAACCCAGCAATAGGAGACTGGCGAACACACAGCTCTGGTCGATCCACCAATGGAATACTATAGAGCTGTCAAAATGAAAAAGGCAGGAGGAACAGCTTTACGTGGTGATAGGGAAGGATACCCAGTATATTTAGTTACGATTTTAAAAGGAAGGAGCAAGATGTATATAACATGCTTTTTTTGTGTAATAAAAGAGGAAATAAAAGTATGTTATTTATGTTTGCATAAAGAAACGTTGGGAGAATAAATAAGGCACTATTCTGGTAAAAATGGTTACTGACGAGCAATGTGAGGGGAAAAAGAGAGGGTAAGTGTGGGGTAGGAGTGATATTTCTCATGTACTTATTGATGTCATTTTTATTTGAACTACATAAATGAAATATCATTTTAAAAACTAGGCCTGGGTGTGGTGGATCACACTTGTAATCCCAGCACTTTAGGAGGCCAAGGTGGGAGGATGACGAGTTCAGGAGTTCAAGACCAGCCTGGCAACATAGCAAGACTTTGTCTCTACTAAAAAAATTTTAAAAATTAGCCAGGCATGGTGCCACATGGCTGTAGTCCCAGCTACTCATGAGGCTGAGGTGGGAGGATTGCTTGAGCCCAAGAGTTGAAGGCTTCAGTGAGCCACTGCACTTCAGCGTGGGTGACAGAGCAAAACCCTGTCTCAAAAAACATACATAGAATTTTAAAAATCCATATCTGGACGATTTATTAAAATCAAAGAAATACAGAGGGCAGCTATTTAGTAACCAAGAAATAAGGACATGGATCAAAAATAATCGTATTTTGTTTTTCTGACCAAGTCCCTCCTCTGGTCCCATGCCCCACTTTTCATAAAGACAAAATTTCCAAACTTGGAGACATTTCAGGGAATCCTTGCCAAGAAAAATGCTGATAAATTGATGGACACAGGAGCCTACAATGCAAAAAAAACAGAAAGCTATAAAATGTTCCAGGTGGCTTGAGAAGCATGTTATTTTTGTCATTTGGGGCTATAAAATGTGCATGAAATGTCACATTCCTTACTTTTACTCAATCAAATGTAATCTGCTCTGTGTCCTACCCAGAAGACTGGGAGGAAATTCAACCCTAGTCATTAGTGGGGCTGTCTCCTCCCTCCAACACATTACAAAATACCAGGGGCTTAGGCAGTACCAGAAAAGCTGGGAGCAAGGCCAGGTCCTTAGTACTCAGGATAGCCAACTTAGTTCGCTCTAGCTGCTGTGACAGAATACCAGAGACTAGGTGACTTAAATGACAAATATGTTTTTGTTTGTTTTTGAGACAGGGTCTCACTGTATCACTCAGGCTGGAGGGCAGTGTTGCAATGTCACCTCACTACATCCTCAACCTTCCAGGCTCAGGTGATCCTCCTACCTCAGCCTCCCGCGCAGCTGGGACTATAGGTGCATACCACCACATCTGGCTAATTTTTCTTTTTTTTTTTTTTTTTAGACACAGTCTCGCTCTGTCACCCAGGCTGGAGTGCAGTGGCACAATCTCGGCTCACTGCAACCTCCGCCTCCCAGGTTCAAGCAATTGTCCTGCCTCAGCCTCCTGAATAGCTGGGACTACAGGTGCCCGCCACCATGCCCAGCTAATTCTTTGTATTTTTAGTAGAGATGGGGTTTCACCATGTTGGCCAGGCTGGTTTTGAACTCCTGACCTCAGGTGATCTGCCCTTCTTGGCCTCCCAAAGTGCTGGGATTACAGGCATGAGCCACCATGCCAGCCTAAGTTTTTGTATTTTTGTAGAGATGGGGTTTTCCCCATGTTGCCCAGGCTGGTCTCAAACTCCTGGGCTCAAGTAATCTGCCCACCTTGGTCTCCCAAACCTGTACTAGGATTACAGGTGTGAGCCACTACACCCAGCTGAATGAATATGTATTTCTCACAGTTCTGGAGACTAGGAAGTCCAAGATCCAGGTACCAGCAGATTTGATGTCTGCTGAGGGCTCTCTTCCTGATTCTCAGACTGCAGCCTTCTCACTACCGATGGCCGAGAGAGAGCTCTGGTCTCTAACTCGTCTTATAAGGGCACTAATCACACATGGGGGCTCCACCCTTATGACCTCAGCTAAACCTAAGTACCTCCAAAAGGCCCCACCTCCAAATATCATCACACTGGGGGTTGGGTTTTCAACATATTAATTATGGGGGGACAGAGACATTTAGCCCATAGAAGCCACTATTGTTTCTCTAGCTGCCTCTACTTTCAGAGGCTACAGTCAAGTCCTGGAGTGATGTCCTCTGGGTCAGGCCCAGCACTTCCCCTCACATCAGCAATGTCCACATCACCCATAGTAGAATCTCCCTGGGGACCCTGGCCTCTGTGCCCCTAGCTGGGAGAAATCATGGCTTCTCTGGGCATTCTCCAGCAATCCTTCAGCCTGGGAATGCTCTGGGCAGAAGTGGGGGTCTCCTCACTCGTGGGGAGAAAGCACCAAATTTCCAGACCCTAGAGAATCTCAACCTCTGCTCAAGACACACCCACAGTCCACTTCTGCCTCTCTTAGCCTAGGTGTTTGCGCATAATCCAAATGCCATCACTACCCACCTTCTCCATACTCAAGAAAGAGCCTCAGAATTGGGAACAAAAAGCCCAGTAACTCTCTTGGTGAGGGGAGTATACACAGAGCAACAAGAACAAAACAAAACAATTCCACAGTAAATTACCCTGCCACAAGCCTGGCATGGGAGCTTTGATGAACTGTAATGGAATGAAGAGCTGGGTAATGCTGTAGCCGCAACCCGGCAAAGTGAGTTGAAGGAGACAGAGCCTTACAGAACCAAGAAGCTACTCACCCTGGGCATGAAAGCTCTGGTCCAGGTGCAGATACAGCTGTTTCAGTTATCTATCACTGAGCAACCGCCATCCCAAACCTAGTGGCTTACAACAACAGCCACTTCCTTACATAAAAAATTGTGTCTGTCAGTTCAGCAATTCTACTCTGCTTGATGTTAACTGGAGTCACTCAATGCCATCTTCGGCAGCTGGCTGGTCTGGAGTGTTCAAGACAGCTTCCTTCACATTTTTGTCACCTTTGTGGGGACAGCTGGGCTCTGCTAGTGGTTGGCCAGAGTACCATACTCGGCCACTCCAGCAGGCAGTGGCAGGGAATTTGAACTTCTTCTTTTGGGGGGAAGAGGGGTACAGGGTCTCGCTCTGTTGCCTAGGCTGGTGTGCAATGGCATGGTCATAGCTGACTACAACCTTAAAGGTCTCAAGCAATCCTCCTGCCTCAGCCTCTTGAGTAGCTGGGACTACAGGCGTGAGCCACCATTCCCGGCTAATCTTTTCTTTTTTGTAGATATGGACTCTCACTATGTTGACCAGGCTGGTCTGAACTTCTGACCTCAAGTAATCCCCCTGCCTCAGCCTCCCAAAGTTCTAGGATTACGGAGCACCACTGTGCCCAGCCTGAATTTGAAACTTTTTTTTTTTTTTTTTTTTTTCCTGAGACAGAGTCTTGTTCTGTCACCCAGAGCTGGAGTGCAGTGGTGCAATCTCAGCTCACTGCAACCTCCACCTCCGGGGTTCAAGCAATTCTCCTGCCTCAGCCCCCTGAGTAGCTGGGATTACAGGTGCGCACCACCACATCCAGCTAATTTTTGTATTTTTAGTAGAGACGGCATTTCACCATGTTGGCCAGGCTGGTCTTGAACTCCTGACCTCATGATCCGCCCGCCTCAGCCTCCCAAAGTGCTGGGATTACAGGTGTGAGCCACCGTGCCCAGCCTGATTTTGAACTTTTTACATGGTGATTCAGGCTCCCAGAGAATGCTCCAGGAGACAGGAGGTGGAAGGTGCTATTGAATCCTGTGCTGGAAGCTGGTTTAGCATCACTTCCAACAATTTGTGTCGCTCGAGCAGCCACACAGCCACCCAGATTTAAGGGGTCCCCACCTCCCAATGGGAGAAGTAGCAAAGGATATGTAGCCAACTTTTAAATCTGCAATGAATAGAAGTAGTCCCCTTCCTCCAGCTGATTGCCAGGTGAGTTGGGGTTGGCTTCAACAATGGCATATATAAAACTTAGTGGCTCTGGTGAAGACATCAAGATCTCAAACTTAATCAAATGTCTGCCTGGCTGATGTGAGCAGCCCACAGGCCTTACTGCCAGATTTACCAATGCTGATGCCCATGCTCAAGAGTTCAGCTAGCATCTTGTGAAGGAGGCAGCAAATAGGGCTCTCAATAACACAAACCCATCTGTATTAGGGTACTCCAGGGAAGCAGACCCAATAGGAGAAATCAGGGCCAGGCACGGTGGCTCATGCCTGTAATCCTAGCACTTTGGGAGGCCGAGGTGAGAGGATCGCTTGAGCCCAGGAGTTAGAGACCAGCCTGGGCAACATAGTGAGACCTCATCTGTAAAAAAAGTTTAAAAATTAGTTGGGCATGGTGGTGGGCACCTGTAGTCCTAGCTACTCAGGAGGATGAGGCTGGAGGATTGCTTGAGCCTGGGAAGTCAAGGCTGCAATGAGCTAGGATTGTGCCACTGCACTCCAGCCTAGGCAACAGAGTGAGATCTTGTCTCAAAAAAAAAAAAAAGAAGAGAGAGAGAGAAATCAGTAGATGATATGATAGATAGATAAGTAGATAGATAGATTAGATAGATCGATCTATCGATCGATCAATCAATCGATATATAGATTGATAGATAGAATGAGGAATTGGCTCACATTATTATGGAGGCTCTAAAGTCCCACAGTCTGCCATCAGCGAACTGAGACCCAGGAAAGCCAGTAATATAATTCCAGTCTATGTCCACAATCTTGTGGACCAGAGGAACCAGGGGAGCTAATAGTACAAATCTCAGTCCAAGGAGAGAAGAAGACTGATATTCCAGTTCCAGCGCGCAGGCGGGAAGAAACAGTAGTGAATTTCTCTTTCCTCTTTTCGTTCTGTTCAGGCTCTCAGCAGATTAGATGATGCCCACCACACTGGCGAAGACAATCTACTGAGTCCACAATGCTAATCTCACCTAGAAACACCCTCAGAGACACACCAAGAAATGTTATTTAATCTGGGCACCCTGTAGTGCAACACAATCAAATTGACACATAAAATTAATCATTGAATTTTATACCCTAAAAATCGCAACATCTAATCCATTTCCATTTTTGATGCAGATAAAAAATCCATGAGATCAATTCAGGAAGCCATAAAAAGGTGATCAAAAAGAAAATGGAGTCAAGGAAGATGTCAAGCAGGAAAGAGCAGAAAGTCCTTTTTTTTTTTTTTTTTTTTTGAAAGACAGAGTCTCATTTGTAGCCCAGGCTGGAATGCTGGAATGCAGTAGTGCGATCTCAGCTCACCTCCACCTCCCAGCCTCCAGGAAGGTGGGATTACAGGCATGTGCCACCACACCCGGCTAATTTTTGTATTTTTAGTAGAGATGGGGTTTCACCATGTTGGTCAGGCTGGTCTCGAACTCCCGACCTCAGGTGATCCATCCGCCTTGGCCTCCCAAAGTGCTGGGATTACAGGCGTGAGCCACTGCATCCAGCTACTTCTATCTTTTAAAAAAATGTTTTTATATAAATAAAACATACATACAGAGAAGTGCATTAATTTTAAATGTACAGCTCAAAGAACTTTCGCAAACAGCATATGCATGCAACCAGTGCCTAGATTAAGGAAAGGACATTCCCAGGATGCCAGGGGCCCCCTCCTGTGCCTTTTAGTTACTACCCTCCCCAAAGGACAACCTCTCTCCTCACTACTACCATTTTGCCTGGACCTGAGCTTTATATAAATGGAATCATACAATGTGCTCTTTCACAGCTGGCTTCTTTCACTCGACTTTATGTCTGCAGATTTGCCTGTTATCACATGCAGTTATAGGAACATTCATTTTCAGTGCTGAGAAATATTCCACTGCATGCATATGCCACAATTTTCCTCCCCTTTCTCCTGCTGAAGGCTATTTGGGTCATTCCCACTTTAGGCAGTGTGGGCTCCAGTGCTTCTCTATTGGGAGCAGCTCTGCTCCTCCTGTCCCTCAATGAGTGCCACTCACTGAGGACACCACGGAGAGTGTGACTGGGCACCACACAGTGCCCCCAACTCAGGGGCTCCAGGTCCCCTTTGGCTCAAAGACGAAGCAAGACAGAGCTTTCTGTCTGACCCCACAAACCTGTCTGCCATTTCTGCCACCTCCCCAGGACTCAGCCCAGGGACCCCTTTCTCTAATACCCACAAATGTGCACATTGTTATTATGGCCCCTCTGCCCCACCAGCACAAGGGAACCCCTTTCTGTTGGAAGGTGAGGGGATGGTTGTTCTTAGTGTCCATTTCTCCTAAATACCTGGCCTATGTCATAAATCCTTTCAGTTCCCATGAGGTCTCATGTTTGAAATTTATGAGGCAGAAGATGCTGCTTGGCTCTGCTTTCTGCTGACTGCCCACCCTCCTACCCCAACTGCTAGAAGGGCTGGGGAGTGGGAGGGGAGGAGGGAGAGATACAGATGAAATAAATCAGAAGTTTTTTTTTTTTTTTTCTAGAGATGAGGTCTCTCTCTGTCACCCAGGTTGGAGTACAGTGGCAAAATTGCAGCTCACTGCAGCCTGGAACCCCTGGGCTCAAGTGATCCTCCTGCCTCAGCCTCCCAAGTACCTGAGATTACATGTGTGAGCCACCGCACCTGGCCAGAGAATATTTCAAAATGTTAGCCCTCCACATTTACAACGGAAAGGATTTGGACCAACCCACTTCTGCCATCTCTCTTGGGCAATGGACACTGATGGTTAGGGATGCCCTTACTTGTTCCCAGCGGGCTTCTCATACTCTAACAAACACACAGAAAGGCATCCAGCTCCACAGTGTCTCAGTCTGTGTCATTGGTTTGTCTGGGGCTCCAAATGTCCCACTTCTTCTGGGCATCCATTATCTTCCCTGGAATAGAGTGCAAAGGCCCCTCAGCTCAGTGGTCTTCCCTCAGAGCCTGGAAGCCCCTTCATTATGGTGGCTGGATACTTTCTTGAGATATTAACATGTGGTTTTTTGTTCTTCCTGTTTTGTCACTGTTCTACCCCATTCCAGGAAGCGTTTGCACATCCTGGCCCCAGAAGATTTTGCGTAGCCTCACCAAGAGAAGAAGTTGGAAAGAAAAAAAAAGAAGTTGGCAAGGCATCCAGAGGAGACCCCCCCCAGCACCTGGGTTCTCTGCCAGGGGAGAGAGGTAAGCACACTGGACTGAAGGAGGCAAAAGCTGCTCAAGGGAGTGGGGGGTGGGGGGAGATTCCCAGATGCTGTGGAAGGGATGTGGTTTGGGGGTCCTTGGAGTAGTGAGGAGAAGCCCTGCTCCCACATAGAACCCCACACACACAACAGTGGGGATGGAGGGAGGTCAGGGATTCCAAAGGAAACTAGCTAAGAACCTTGGCCTTACTAACCACAAAGACTCCCATTCATATCAGCTGTGTCTGAAGGTCAGAGGCCCAGACTCTGAATGTTCTAGGCTGGGTCAGACCCCTGGGATAGTCACTGGACCCCATAGGAGAAGAGATAGGGGAGTCCCTAATAAAACTTCAATTACATTTCCTGCCTGCTTGGTCAGTGGATACTAAATGCAGATGACTTAGAAAAAGAAAGAATTGTGAGATGCTGTGGAGTCAACTCAATGTCATCATTAGCGTCTTCCTCTTCAGAGTCCTGTATCCCAGCGACGGAGCTCAAGGTTCAGACTAAAGGCTTCCTACCCCTGGCAAGGAGGTCTTTATAGTGGAGGTGAACGTTTACACACTACACTCTGAGAATTTTTTTTTTAAAGTAGCCTCTATTTTGTATGTCTTCTCATCCTGTTAGAGTAAGTAGCTAGTCAGGGATGAGCAGGGCAGGAGAGGGCGCCCCAGACACACACCCACAGGAATGTCAGGCAAACATCAGGTGAGGGTCAGGCAGTTGTTAACGGGCTCTCTAAAATAATTGGTCACAGCTGGCACCAGAGACAGGCAGTCTCCCAATAGAAACATCTGAAACTGGTGATCAGCAGTTTCCCAATAAGATCCCAGTAAGTGACCAAAGAGGCAAGAATTGAGGTTGCTGCAGACCCCTATGGATTTGCTGCCACTAACGATCCCTACTACTGCTGCTGGGGAGGAGGTTTTAATAGTATCTATTAATTAAAGATATCCCAGTCTCTTTTCTATCCTCCCTCCCCAAATACTGCTCGGTCCACCTCATGAGATTGTCCTGGGCCTTTTGAGACCCAGGCAATGGGAAGAGAAGGCCATGGAAGTGGACTGAGAATGCTGGGTGTCTAGATTAACTATGCTGCCCTCCGGAAGGCACCTCCAGTAGGATGCACAGCTGTGGCTATCAGCAAATTCCCCTTCCTCCTCTTGCAGGTGCCCTAGAGAACATGGATAGGGCTGCAGGTGGTTAATGATTCAAAGACTACTCAGTGAAGACGCTGCCTGGGGGAACAGAGTGTGGCCACATCTAAGGAAAGAAGGTACAGGTGAACAGGAGAGGAGGTGAAGGAGAAGCGAGCAGGTGGGGGTTGCGGAGGGGCTGAGGAAGGTCAGGCAGAGCCAGGAGACCAATCCAGCTCCTTGGAAGGTAGCTCAGTTGACTCCTTACCATGTGGCATTTGTAAAAGGTGGACAGTAGAGGCCTGGGGCCAGAGAGAGGCTGGACCAGATTCCCACTGTAAAAATCTCCTTGCCAAGGTCCAGGTAGGGTGTCCTTAAGTCTGAATCTTGATCCCCATCGCTGGGATACA
Source organism: Homo sapiens (assembly GCF_000001405.40). Taxonomy (NCBI): domain Eukaryota; kingdom Metazoa; phylum Chordata; class Mammalia; order Primates; family Hominidae; genus Homo; species Homo sapiens. Next base: position 2,085,232 of record NT_167245.2, on the reverse strand, counting down.
GGACTCTGGAAGAGGAAGATGCTAAATGACTGCATTTGGGGAGGGAAAGACACGCTCACTTCTCCCCAGCCCCAAGTTGCCCTGTGTTGCTGCCACACTACGTAACTACAGTCATAAACTATATTTGAAGCATGATGGAACCTGAACCATGGCAGTAGCTTAAGTTGACTACATTAACAGGGAAAGCTGAGTCATGATTCTATACTGAATATAAAAATTAAGTCAGATGTGCTCACTCACATGCACACAAATATTCTGGAAAGCTGAGATCCACAGCCCCAAGATGGGGAAAGGGCTCCCCCTGGTGGGATTGCCAGAGGTTCCCCCATGGAACTGCACGCCCCAGACCAAGCCAAAGCCCCAAGCAAAACAATCTGCTATGTCATGCAGGATTGGAAGACTTTCGTTTGCTTCAGGGCCAATTTATGACTCCCGGTATTCTCTGTCCTGAAATGACACCCAGTTCCAGGAAGAACTGGATTCTAGGACCAACTTGTACAGGCGCCCCAGGAGACAGTCTGGGCATGCAGGTCAGCCGATGTGTGCCGGGGAAGACTGTCCACATTTGCTCCTCAGTCCCACTGGGCCTGATCACAGGCCACCCCCCATAGTAAAGGGGAGCCAGGGCCCCTGGGCAAGGGTAGATGCTGCCTCTCATGCCCCTGAATTAGCCCAGAGGCGCTCCAGCAGGAAGCCTTGTTTGGCTTATATTGCAAAGGAGGCACCACTTACTATGCAGTCCCCTGCCCGGAGCACCTTGCCTGTGCTACTGAGAAATGTCCTGCTGCAGCAGGAGAGGCGGATCGAGCTACAGCCAAGAGTGTGCCCTGCCTCCATCTGTTGACCCAGGTCAGAATGATGTGGAACACTGGACAGTTAACTCACTGGGTTCAAAAAACACAGCAACACAATGCTCTGGGTGCCTCCTGGCTGTGATGTGCACTATTGTTTTCTGGGGAGATCCCATCACATATGAAACTTCAGATGTTCATCCAGTGATCATGTCAAGCTTCCATTGTTTGCTCTCATATGCTCCCTGGAGCTGGATTCCACCCTGGCTCAAGACCTCTGATGAAGTGCTGGCATGGAGCAGAAACTCCCTTAGGCAGAAACCCCCTTTCCCCCTTGCCACCCACCCCCCACCAGCACCCCATCCTAGGGATGCCACCGCAGGTCTCCTCTCATAGCAGCACTACTTCCTCAATTCTCAACTTCAGGTTACTGCTACAGAGTCTCGCACCTGATCCAGCCTTGAGAAAGTGATTAGAGTGTGACCGGAAAAAATTGTTAGTGATCCCCAAATATGTAGTATAAAGCTACAGTAAATGCTTCTAAAAAATAGACACAAGTGAAACAGGCTAGCCCAGGGGCTTTCAATACAGAGCAATGATAGATATAATATTAGAGAAAATTAAAAAGCAATGCTCCACAAAGGGAGAATATCCCCAAAGATATTCCCAGAAACTGAATATAAATGCAAAAGATGAACAGGGCTACAGCTGTGGCCTGTTGGGTTCTGACTCAGGGTACAGTTAAAGGCAGCTGGGAAGTCAAGTCCTGTTGAGTACTGAGTGGTGAGATAGAATTAAATTGCCCACTGAGGTGGGGGACCAGTGTCATGGTCACTGTGAAAATATTAGGGACTCAGATTCCCCTCTTGCCCACACTTCCACCCTCTTCAAGAAGACTGAAATAGCTTGCTACTAACTTCGCCTGGGACTGTGGCCTAGGGAGGCCCATGGTTACCAAACGGCACCACACCTGGGCTTAACTGAGCCACCCACAGCCATGGGGCTGGATGTGAGTCATTCCCAGGGTTATCCCAGGGCAGGAGCCCCGACTGCCATATAAGACCTAGTCCTGAACACTGGCCCCTGGGAAGGGCAACTGCACAGCCACTAGGCAGGGAGGAGTGAGGAACAAGAGAAGGGAGACAGAGAAAGCCTGGAAATGAACCTGGAAGCTGAAATTCCAAAACACATAAAAACTAACACTGAGAAAGGCAGCCAGCAACATCAACACTTGATGCATGACAGGTGAAGTGAAAAGAATATAATCATTGGAAAGAGTCTTCAGTATCCTCAAGGAGGCAGTTAAACATATAATGTTCACTTAAAAATCAAGCCACTATGAGATTACAACCAGGCAGAAACGTGCTGTCATATAACAATGGAACAGAAAAATATTATGCAATAAATGGTTCAGGAGAAATAATTATTAATATTTGGGAAAATACATATAGTAGATGTAAATCCTCACTTCATCTAACATATCCTGAGCAAATCTAAATATTTTTTAATCTCTGAAAAGGGTAGGATGTTCTAAATTAGCTGAAAGAAGCTAGGTGTGTTGGTGGCGTAATTCCCAGCTACTTGAGAGGCTGAGGCAGGAAGATCGCTTGTGCCCAGAAATTCGAGACCCGCCTGAGAAACATAGCAAGACTCCCAGTCTCTTAAAGAAAAATAAAACTAGATTTTAAGATAAATATCATACAAGAAATATGAAAGTAATAAGTAAAACATGGGAAAAAAGTAAAAAAACAAATTAACTGAAACAATAGGCCAACAAAAGAAAGGAATATATGCATAGATTTAACTACAAAAAGTTTTTAAATTTTTTTTTTTCTTTTGAGACAAAGTCTCGCTCTGTCACCCAGGCTGGAGTGCAATGGCACAATCTTGGCTCACTGCAAACTCCACCTCCCACATTCAAGCGATTCTCCTGCCTCAGCCTCTCGAGTACCTGAGTACCTGGAACTACAGGCACAGGCCATCATGTCCAGCTGATTTTTTGTATTTTTAGTAGAGGCAGGGTTTCACTATGTTGGCCAGGCTGGTCTTGAACTCCTGACCTCAAGTGATCCACCCTCCTCGGCCTCCCAATGTGCTGGGATTACAGGTGTGAGCCACTGCGCCTGGCTAATTTTTATATTTAATAGAAAAAAATGGAATGCAAATAAATAAGGAAAATGTTGGCAACAGTCTCTGAATCCAGCCTTTCTGGGTATGACTTTGGGCAAGTTACTTGACCTCTCCAGGCTTCTATTTCCTCCGTCATACGAGACTAATTATTGTACCGTGAGGCAGGATTAACTGAATTACTCCATTTAAAGCTCTTAGAACAGTAACCAGCACCTAGAAAATACCCCACAGCTATTTGTATTTTATATTGTACTGTGTGAGAAATTCAGACACAGACAATTTATAACAGAAACACCATAACTAATTAACAATTATCAACGAACAATTCAACTTCATTAATATTGAAAAAAATCTAATTTTTTTTTTGCCTTTCTAGTTGATAGACTGTTAAAATAACAATAGTGTATTCCTGCCCTAACCCTGGGGTCCTGTTCCTAAAAGCCTCCTTGGATGAAAACATTGTGATTAAGAAACTCAGGACTTTATGAAAAGTTAGGGATAGGGAATACCGAAATCTTTAGAAAACCCATGTTTTTTAAAACTTTTGCGTTTTTTATGTTTTAAAACTATTCCCAGCCAGGCACGGTGGCTCACGCCTCTAATCCCAGCACTCTGGGAGGCCAAGACAGGCAGATCACTTGAGGTCAGGAGTTCGAGACCAGCCTGGCCAACATGGCAAAACCCCGTCTCTACTATAAAATACAAAAATTAGCAAGGCATGGTGGCGGGCGCCTGTAATCGGAGGCTGAGGCAGGAGAATCGCTTGAATCTGGGAGGCAGAGGTTGCAGTGAGCCGAGATGGCGCCATTGCACTCCAGCCTGGGTGACAAAGCGAGACTCCGTCTCAAAAAAAAAAAAGCTATTCCCTATTTTTACTAAAATACACTCATAAAGAGAGTATCAATTTTATAAAACTTAGATTGGTAACTGCTTACTGAACAATTACTTCCATTAATTTTTCCTTACTGGAGCATAGCCTTCTAAAACCTCTCCCCTGCGGTTTCAGTGAGATGTTTGCAAATCAGTTAAGTGGGTCTATAAGGAAGAACTGTGGTATTTGTTTGCATATGGTTCCTCATCCAAACACTGCGAGCCTTTTCAGTTATCAGTGGCTGTATGTAATGGGCAATTATAAAACAGAGAAAGAGAAAGTGATCCAAGCGGAACGTGCTATGGAAGGTTGCACCAGGAAGAGATGCTTGTGCACTGTCTGGAATGAGCCAGTGGTCCCAGCCCAGGGATTCTGGTTCACTGGATCTAGGGATGGGCCAGGCACGTGCCGCTTGGAAGGCTCTGCAGGTAGTTCTAATGTGCACCCTGTCATGAACCTGCGGAAGAGGATTGGATCAGGGAAGGGACACTTGATTTCTCAGCTTTAACATAAATGAGGGTTTCCATTTTCTGGGTTTTAATCTTCTCCTTTCACTGTAAAATGGAAGAGTTGGACTAAAGTGGAATCTTCGTTATATGACGAGGCAGCACAATATGCGAGAAAGCACACAGGACTTAGGGTCAGGCCACTGGAGCTGGTGTTCTCTCCAGAGTCATTCTTCCTCTCCTTCACACTTACATCCACCCTTCCTACCCTAAAATCCATCTCCCATCTGTCCCCACTCAGTCCCTTAACCACTGCCTTTTTTTTTTTTTTTTTTCGAGATGGAGTCTCGCACTGTCACCCAGCCTGGAGTGCAATGGTGCCATCTTGGCTCACTGCAACCTCCGCTTCCCGGGTTCAAGTGATTCTCCTGCCTCAGCCTCCCAAGTAGCTGGGATTACAGGCATCCACCACCACGCCCGGCTAATTTGTCTTTTTTTTTTTTTTTAAATCAAGCAATCCCCTGAAACTGAATAGGCTCAGAGAGACTCCTGCCACTAATTCAGATGTTCATCACCTCTCACTGGAGCAATTTCCATAGCTTCCCAACTACTTTTCCCGACACCAGTTTTTGTGTTTTTTTTTCTTTTTTGAGACAGGATCTTGCTCTGCTGCCCAGGCTGGTATGCAGTGGCGTGATTATGGGTCACTGCAGCTTCCGTCTCCTGGGCTTGAGTGATCCTCCCACCTCAACCTCCTGAGTAGCTGGGACTACAGGCATGCACCACCATGTCTGGCTAATTGTTTAAAACTTTTGCAGAGATGAGGTCTCACTATGTTGCCTAGGCTGGTCTCAAACTCCTGGCTCAAGCAATTCTCGCATGTTGGCCTCCCAAAGTGCTGGGATAACAGATGTGAGCCACCACACCCAATCCCTGATACCAGTTTAGATCCTCTCTAATCCCCCTTTGCACCGCCTTCTGGTATGCATCTTCCACTGCTGCTGAAACCTCTGGCTGATCACAGGAGGGTACATTTTCCCCACCTCATATGCCAGTCATTTTATTAGATCATCAAAATCCTGGCAGTCACCAGTGAGCAATTTACATTTTTGCAACGTGGTTCCCATTATTCTACTGTCTCTTTCTTTCTTTAGTAAACCCTCAATGTTTCTTGTATAAGAAATGGGCTGGGATGGCTGGGCGGGGTGGCTCACACCACTGCACTCCAGCCTGGGCAAGAGAGCAAGACTCCATCTCCAAAAAAAAAGAAGGAGAAGGAGGAGAAGAAGAAGAAGGGGAAGAGGAAGAAGAAGGAGAAGGAGAAGGAGAAGTGAAAGAAGAAGAAGAAGAAATGGGCTGGGATGTTATCAAGAAGCTTTGTCATTTTGGTTTATTCTTTTTTTTTTTTGAGATGGAGTCTTACTCTGTCACTCAGGCTGGAGTGCAGTGGTGCCATCTCGGCTCGCTGCAACCTCTGCCTCCCGAGTTCAAGCGATTCTCCTGCCTCAGCCTCCCAAGTAGCTGGGATTACAGGCACCCGCCACCATGCCCAGCTAATTTTTGTATTTTTAGTAGAGACGGGGTTTCACCATGTTGACCAGGCTGGTCTTGAACTCCTGACCTCATGAACCGCCTGCCTTGGCCTCTCAAAGTGCTGTGATTACAGGCATGAACCACTGCACCCGGCCCATTTTGGTTTATTCTTTGCAATCAATAAACTTTTAAAGGACTTCTGCCTTCACCAGGAGCTGCATCCCACTTCACACATCTAGGCACTGAGTGTTCCCTTGGGCCACAATCAAAGAGCCTCTCATGGCATTCCCATCTTGCCCCTGTGGGACTAAAAACCAAGATTAGAAAGCTCTTTGAAAGTTGGAACTCTGCCTTATTTACTCTTTCTTCCAAGCCCCTATATGGTGCCTGGAATGCTTGTTGAATAAACAAATCTATGCACCTAGAACAAATATTAGAAATAGACCTTTAAAATCTCCCAGAGTCAAAAATATGTAGAAGCACAAAACAAGCAATGAATGTTTTTACTTTCTCAGTTCCCTTCTTGTCATAACCCAAACCCCACAAGTTCCAAATCATATTCAAAAGTAACCGAAAGGGACAAGCTAATCCTTAGGGACCAATGCCACTCATCCTCAGATTCCACAGGACAGTCAGCACTTCTCCTGACAAAATATGATGGTATTTTAGCTCAACAATGCTAATATTAGCTACAATCCCTCATCACCCTCTTCATCCACTCCGAGATTCAAGGGCTCAACAGTAAGGAGTTTACCTCAAAGGAAGGTGTGTGCTAGAAGCAGGTAGAGACACGCTCATTTCTAACTCTTAGAACAGACAATTCTAAATGCCAGTTGACGATTTCAGTGTGGTTTTCTGGCCATCAGGTACAGACAAATTCCTTTTTGAACCTTAAAATTCCAAAGATGGGTCTCCCCTGCCTGTGTATAAAAAGCCAGCTAGGAGTAAGAATTAGAAATGAGCTTTCTCAGGGGCATTTTCACCATTAATTATCTAGAGTTTTTTTTTGTTTGTTTTTTCAGAGTAGTAGCCATTCTCTTTGTTTATCTTAATGAGCCCAGTTATGCCATCTGGTGGCCAAAATAAATTGAAAACATGCAACTATGCTGTCAGAAAGTGTGAACGTGTCCTTTTTAGAGTTATTCCCTTTCACCCCTTAGTTTTCTCCCCATTTTCCATGAGCATCTATCACTCACTACATAAGGAGTACCAGGGCATTGATCTTGATGGTGCCTGTTTCCCTGCATGGAAAGGTAAGAAAGTTTGGTCTTGGTACAAGTGAAACTGGTTAAGATCAAAAGAAAAAGAAGGACAAGTTAGGGACAGGACCCTTGCCCATGTCCAAAGGAACAGAATAATGTTTCCAGAAGAAAGAGCAAGAGCAGAAGCCAGTGCCCCCAGCTTATCAGTAAGCAGCATGGAATTTGACTAGGAAACAGCAGAACGGCCACTGCTAAGTGGGAATCACCATAACACCTGAAAAAAATAATAATAACAGCAAGAGTAGCTGCTCCAAATGTGTTCAAACCTCCTGGTCTGAATGGATTACATTCCTAAGTACCAAAATAAAAATTAACTGAGAGTATCTCCAAGTCACTATCAACGATCTCTGAGAAATCACAAAGAGGCAGAAAGGTATTAGAAGTTGGAGATTGTGTGGCTCTGATTCCCAAAGATGGAAAAAAAGATGAATGTTGAAAAGCACAGATCAGGCCAGGTGTGGGGGCTCACGCCTGTAATCCTAGCACTTTGGGAGGCTGAGGCAGGTGGATTACTTGAGTTCAGGAGTTTGAGATGAGCCTGGGCAAAACCCCATCTCTACAAAAAATACAAAAATTAGCTGGGCACGGTGGCTCACGCCTGTAATCCCAACACTTTGGGAGGCCGCGGCAGGCATATCACCTGAGGTCAGCAGTTCGAGACCAGCCTGACCAACATGGAGAAACCCTGTCTCTACTAAAAATACAAAATTAGCCAGGTGTGGTGGCGCATGCCTGTAATCCCAGCTACTCGGGAGGCTGAGGCAGGAGAATTGCTTGAACCTGGATGGTGGAGTCTGCAGTGAGCCGAGATCGTGCCATCACACTCCAGCCTGGGCAACAAGAGCAAAAACTCCATCTCAAGAAAAAAAAAAAATTAGCCAGGTGTGGTGGTGCACACCTGTAGTCCCAGCTACTTGGGGGACTGAGGCAGGAGGATCACTTGAGCCCAGGAAGTCAAGGCTTGCAGTGAGCCAAGATCAGGCCACTGTACTCCAGCCTGGGTGACAAAGCGAGACTCTGTCCCAAAAATAAAAAAGAAAAGAAAACTACAGATAAGTGGCCTTGGCAATGACTGTAGGCAAAAACCCTCAAATGAGATACAGAAAGATGTTTTGTAAAGTGTTTCGTGAGCCCCGAGAAGAGCTGAGTATAGTCACCCCTAAGCTCAAGTGATCCTTTCACCTTAGCCTCCCAATAGCTAGGACTATAGTCGTGTCACCATTCCCTACTAATTTTTTAACACCTCCTTCCCGTCCCTCGACTCCTGCTCTCAAACTCTTCAGAAGACTTGTTCCCATGATTCTGTTGGAGACCATGTTCTCTGGAAACAGATACTGAGATAAAGTTGGGATGCAAGATGTTAATTAGGTATTAACACCTGTGAATAAGGGCAAGGAAGCAGGAGTGGGCAGAGGGAGAAGTTAAACTGAGCTGCAGGCCCAACCACACCTCTCATAACTCTGCAGAGAGCTTGGGGCAGTATTGTCTATCAAAGCAAAGCAAGTTGAACTGAAAGAGCCAGGCATTTATATCCAGCCCTGCTTAGTCACCACATGGAGCTGCCAGGAGAAAGGGTGTGACCAGGAAGAGGGACCAGGCAGCTCTTTGCAGCCAGGGGACCCTGAAGGAGCTGATGGCTGGAGGCTGTCTGCTGACTGCTCTCCCATAGCTGGGCAACAAGTCCTTCCTTGGGGGAGATCTGAGCAGCACATCTCCATGTCCACTACGCTCTCCTTACTACCATTCCCCTCTGGCACCACTGAAATCCACCTTCCATCTTCGCTTTTACTCCACTCACTCCATCCCTTTGCTCCACGCCAAATCCAGTGGGCCCTTCTTGGTTCTTACCTTACAGCTGACCTCTCTCTCATTTGTTGAAGTTATCGATTTCTACAGTAACTTCTCCTCTCTCTCCTTGACCTCTCTACCCACACTTTGCCGGCCTGTTCAGGGGTCCTGTCCTCCATGCACTACCCAAGCACTGGGACTCCATTCTGAATCCATCCTCCTCTTCCTCCGTACTCTCCCAGGCGATCCCACCCACTATCAGGGTTTTAATTCCTGTTTATATGGCAGTGACTTTGAAATGTACTCTCCAGCTATCCTCTCTGCTAGGCTTCTGATTCCCATATCTAATTGGCTGCTGGCTATCTCCATGCTAAGGGCTGTCAGAACTGTGACATTCCACCTCTCTTCTCCCACTGTGTTCCCACCCTAATACTTCCAGTGCAAGAAACCAGGGACCCTTTGAACCTGCTCTGTCAAGTTTCTTTTCTCGGCAGCCACCCCCGCTGGGTCCAGTTTGGGCATGGGTATGGAAGCACTCCGAACAGTATCAAGGACTCTGCATATGGAGATTTGCATCACTGACATATAAATAGCTGATGCTGGTGCTGAAACCAAAAGAATATTCATCACTGATCACACCCACTACTTGCCCAACCAGATGTGAACCTCTGACTCAGTGGGTCCATAGGAAAGAGTTACTCAGCACTTCCTAGGTATAGGTGATGAGAGATGGTATTCATTTATTTTACAGTTTGAAGAATCTGTAAAGAAAATCTGAAGAAAAGAGTTATCTGGGCTGGGCACGGTGGCTCACGCCTGTAATCCCAGTACTTTGGGAGGCCGAGGCGGGCGGATCACGAGGTCAGGAGATTGAGACCAGCCTGGCCAACAGGGTGAAACCCCGTCTCTATTAAAACACAAAAATTTAGCCGGGCGTGGTGGCGCATGTCTGTAGTCCCAGCTACTCGGGAGGCTGAGGCAGGAGAATCGCTTGAACCCAGGAGACGGAGGTTGCAGTGAGCCAAGATTGCGCCACTGCACTCCGGCCTAGCGACAGAGCGAGACTCCATCTCAAAACAACAACAACAAAAAAGAGTTCTCTGAGCAGGTAGCTTTTAGCCACACCTTTTATTTCCAGGCCTATACCTGTGTGGCAAAGGCTTAAATAGGAGGTATTTCTGAAGGAAAATTAACTCCAGTTTATTTAAATATACCATGCTTCGTGTATATATGTCCTCTCCTTCCAAACTGGAATTTCCAGTTAAATTCAAGGAATAATTATCAAGTAAATACAACATGACAAGAGCAAGGCTAAGTACAGGACAGTTCCTGCCTTAAGGAATCTAAGGTGAAAGGATAAGTCTAATGGAAGCGCATTCCAGTTTGCTGATGAGCACAAAAGCCATAGCAGCTAAGTGCCATGGGTTCCAGAGAAGGAAAGTGTCTCCGTGCAGGCTGGCTTCATAAAGGCTTCTGAGATAGGCCTAAAGGATAGATCAGATTTCAGGAAGTAAGCACAAGACAGGAATAAGCAAGAAATAATGATGACACACAAGGAATGGAGAGGAAAGAATGCCATCAGAAGAATATCTTCAGAGAATTGCACAATAAACAAAGAGTAATGGTAAGGAAATTTTCTTATAGCTAAGGCCAAATATTGAGACTACAGAAATACCCTGGGAGGCTAGAGAGAGGCAACGTCATGGGGGTAAGATTGGTTTTTTGTTTGATTGGTTTTTTTTGGGGGGGGCGGTTAGGTTTTTTCTTTGGAGAAGGAGTCTCCCTCTGTCACCCAGGCTGGAGGGTAGTGGCGCAATCTCAGCTCACTGCAACCTCCGCCTCCCAGGTTCAAGCGATTCTCCTGCCTCAGCCTCCCGAGTAGCTTGGATTACAGGCAACCACCACCTCGGCCGAATGATTTTTGTATTTTTAGTAGAGACAGGGTTTCACCATGTTGGCCAGTCTGGTCTTGAACTCCTGACCTCAGGTGATCCATTCACCTTGGCCTCCCAAAGTGCTGGGATTATAGGTATGAGCCACATAACCAGCCAGATTGTTAAAATAATATTATTACAAGGAGGTGGGTAGAAAAGGCCAAAATCACTGCCCCATTAACTTTTCCTAGGCCCCAGTTCAGACCCAAACTCTTTTTAGACTTCCCTTTTCTACCATCATGGGCAGCACGGGTGTTGTGGCTCCGAGACCCCTCTTCTATCCAGCTCCCTGAAAAGAACAATGCCCACTAAAGGCTTGCTGGGAGTTGATCCATCACTTCTGGTTTGGTAGAATGTTTCCCTAAGGATCTCTTGAGCCCAGGAATTCAAGACCAGCCTGAGAAACATGGAAAAAACGCATCTCCACAAGAAATGCAAAAATGAATGGGGTGTGGTGGTGTGCGCCTGTAGTCCCTAAGGGCTGTCAGAACTTAGGAGGCTAAGACAGGAGGATTGCTTGAGCCCAGGAAGTCGAGGCTGCAGTGAGCCATGATCACACCACTGTACTCCAGCCTGGGCAACAGAGCAAGACCCTGTCTCAAAGAAAAAGTTTCCCTAATGTTGCCCACATGGGTAACTCCCTCCCACCTATCCCAGTTGTAATTAAGTGAGAACACTCTAGTCCTTGTTCTTAAATGAAGGAAGTGAAAATTTGTGAGGACGAGAATGTTCTGGGCCTGGTGACCTCCCGAAGTGAGCTTGGCAGCAAATCTTCCCATTTGCCTTGGGAAAGCCCTAAAAAAACCAGAGTATGGGATACTGATAGTGGTTATAATTGCTAACGAGGTTAGGGTTTTAACACATGACGCATGCTAAGTAGTCAAAATTCCCCATTTTACAGAAAGAGAAACTGAAGTTCAAAGATGCTATGTGCAATCCCCCTACATGGAGACACAGTCTGAGTCTAGTTTCTCAAGGCCTTGGCAGGGCCTGAGGGAGTGGGTAACATGGGTATGGCTTGTATACATTTATGAATTTTGTATCTGGGAAGCAATATGGAGAAATAGCCTGTAAGGAAGGAAAAGATTAGACACTATTTACTGCAGCTCCAAACAAAACTACACAGAGGCCAGGAGCAGTGGCTGATGCCTGTAATCCCAGCATTTTGGGAGGCCAAGGTGGGTGAATCACCTGAAGTCAGGAGTTTGAGACCAGCCTGGCGAACATGGTGAAACCCTGTCTCCACTAAAAGTACAAAAATTAGCCGGGTGTGGTGGCACACGCCTGTAATCCTAGCTACTCAGGAGGCTGAGGCAGGAGAATCACTTGAACCTGGGAGGCAGAGGTTGCAGTGAGCTTGAGAGGTGACAGCCTGCTAGCAGTCCTCACAGCTCTCACTCGCTCTGGGCGCCTCCTCTGCCTGGGCTCCCACTTTGGCGGCACTTGAGGAGCCCTTCAGCCCACCGCTGCACTATGGGAGCCCCTTTCTGGGCTGGCCAAGGCCAGAGCCGGCTCCCTCAGCTTGCAGGGAGGTGTGGAGGGAGAGGCGCGAGCGGGAACCGGGGCTGCGTGCAGTGCTTGCGGGCCAGCTGGAGTTCCGGGTGGGCGTGGGCTTGGCGGGCCCCGCACTCGGAGCAGCCGGCGGGCCCTGCCAGCCCCAGGCAGTGAGGGGCTTAGCACCCGGGCCAGCGGCTGCGGAGAGTGTACTAGGTCCCCCAGCAGTGCCGGCCCACCGGCACTGCGCTCGATTTCTCGCCAGGCCTTAGCTGCCTTCGCACGGGGCAGGGCTCGGGACCTGCAGCCCGCCATGCCTGAGCCTCCCACCCACTCCGTGGGCTCCTGTGCGGCCCAAGCCTCCCCGACGAGCGCCGCCCCCTGCTCCAGGGCGCCCAGTCCCATCGACCGCCCAAGGGCTAAGGAGTGTGAGCGCATGGCCCAGGACTGGCAGGCAGCTCCACCTGCAGCCCCGGTGCTGGATCCACTGGGTGAAGCCAGCTGGGCTCCTGAGTCTGGTGGGGATGTGGAGAGTCTTTATGTCTAGCTCAGGGATTGTAAATACACCAATCGGCACTCTGTATCTAGCTCAAGGTTTGTAAACACGCCAATCAGCACCCTGTGTCTAGCTCAGGGTTTGTGAGTGCCCCAATTGACACTCTACCTAGCTGCTCTAGTGGGCCCTTGGAGAACCTTTATGTCTAGCTCAGGGATTGTAAATACACCAATCGGCACTCTGTATCTAACTCAAGGTTTGTAAACACGCCAATCAGCACCCTGTGTCTAGCTCAGGGTTTGCGAGTGCACCAATCTACACTCTGTATCTAGCTGCTCTGGTGGGGCCTTGGAGAACCCGTGTGTCCATACTCTGTATCTAACTAATCTGATGGGGACGTGGAGAACCTTTGTATGTAGCTCAGGGATTGTAAACGCACCAATCAGCACCCTGTCAAAACAGGCCACTCGGCTCTACCAATCAGCAGGATGTGGGTGTGGCCAGATAAGAGACTAAAAGCAGGCTGCCCCAGCCAGCAGTGGCAACCTGCTCTGGTCCCCTTCCACAGTGTGGAAGCTTTGTTCTTTTGCTCTTTGCAATAAATCTTGCTACTGCTCAGTCTTTGAGTCTACATTGCTTTTTATGAGCTGTAACACTCACTGCAAAGGTCTGCAGCTTCATTCCTGAAGCCAGTGAGACTACGAGCCCACCGGGAGAGACAAAGAACTCCAGATGCACTGCCTTCAGAGCTGTTAACACTCACCACGAAGGTCTGCAGCTTCACTCCTGAGCCAGTGAGACCACAAACCCACCAGAAGGAAGAAACTCCGAACACATCTGAACATCAGAAGGAACAAACTCCAGACATGCCACCTTAAGAGCTATAACACTCACCGTGAGGGTCCGTGGCTTCATTCTTGAAGTCAGTGAGACCAAGAACCCACCAATTCCGGACACAAGCTAAGATCACGCCACACTGCATCCCAGCCTGGCAACAGAGCGAGACTGTCTCAAAAAAAAAAAAAAAGGCCGGGTGCCGTGGCTCACCTTTGTAATTCCAGCACTTTGGGAGGCTGAGGAGGGTGGATCACCTGAGGTCAGGAGTTCAAGACCAGCCTAGCCAACATTGTGAAACCCCGTCTCCACTAAAAATACAAAAAATTAGCCAGACGTGGTGGGCGCCTGTAATCTCAGCTACTCAGGAGGCTGAGGCAGGAGAATCGCTTGAACCTGGAGCAGGGCTGGATGGGGGGTAGAGGTTGTAGTGAGCTGAGGTCACGCCACCACACACCAGCCTGGGCAATAAGAGTGAAATGCCATCTCAATAAATAAATAAAGATTGTGTTTGGTTCTTGAGTAACAAAAACTCAATACAATGGCCTAACTTCATAGGTGTTTATTTTTCCCAGTTATGAAGAAGACTTGAGCAGGCAGTCCAGAGCTGATACAGCTGCTCCAATCACCAGAGATGCAATCTCCTGCTAGATGTCTTCACATCTACCTTTCTATGTCACATGTGCAAGATGGTTGCTCTGCCTTCAGACATCACATCTACATTCCAGGCAGAAAGGAGAAGGAAAGAGCAAAAGATGTGTTCTGAACAAATCCATCTTAAAAACAAACAAGGGGAGGGGTAGCAGGAGAAAATTTAAAAAAAAGAAGAAGAAAAACAAAAACAGGAAAGCCGTTGTTTCCCTAAAAGCCCCATCAAGCCGACTTCTACTGGTGACTCATTACCCAGTCATGTGGCCACCCCTGGATTCAAGGCAGTCTGAGGAGGTGAGTGTTTCAAAGAGGCACATGGATGCCACAGACAAAATCAAGTTTCCATGGTTGAAGGAGAAGAGGACGATGGAGTTTGGGGAGGCAGCAGGCTACGTCTGCCACAGAAGATATAAAGATATGGAGCCACACGAGAAGATGGGGGAGGCTGCCAAAAAAGTCCACTGGGTACAGGTGAGGAGCAGGTGACATTGGAGTTGCTCCATCTGAGGAGCCCGCACCTGCAATGGCTTGTGCTCCTGCTCCTGTGGGTGTAGGCACAAGGCTGATGCCGAGAGAGTGAGTTGTTTCTGTTGGGGTTCAGAACACAATACCCCAAAGTATGGCGATGAGTACTTAACTAAAGGACATTGGAAGGCCTCAGAAGCAGCCTCAGATCCAAGGTCCCTCTGACCTGCTCCTGCCCTCCTGTCTCTCTCGTCCCTCGTGCTCCCCTGAAGTGAGTCATAGAAACCAGAATCCTCTTCCCCACGGTAGGTCCTAGAAACTAGAACCCTTTTTCCCCGAAGCAAAAGCCATAAAAACTGGAATTATTACTCTAAACTCTCCTTGACTTTTTGTCCAGAAGATGGCCATAAAGAAATTCTCAGCTAGGTGTGGTGGCTCGTATCTGTAATCCCAGCACTTTGAGAGGCCAAGGTGGGAGGATCACTTGAGGCCAGGAGTTTGAGATCGGCCTGGGCAACATAGTAAGACCCCCATCTCTACAAAACTTTTTTTTTTAAACTTACCTAAGCGTGGTGGTACACCTGTAGTCTCAGCTACTTAGGAGGCTGAGGTGGGAGGGACCCTGCTCTGGCTGTGACTGCTTTATCACAGGGAGTGCCTATCTGTGGGCTGCTTTCTACACATTAAAGCATTTTCAGAAAGGGCCAACATCAGCCTTGGAAAAAAGGAGGAAGAGCCACGGAGAGTCTCCCTTTATCTTCCCCTTATGTGATGTGAGAGTGCACATGACTGTGTGCACATACACACACACACACCCACATACACACACACACACACACCACACACACACACCCCACAGGCACATAGGGTCAAGAACATGCTGGGCAGAGCTTAAGCCACTGAATGTTTCAGTAGGAATCATGATATCTAAAAATAGGACAGCTGATAAGGGGGTTCTTACTACTCACAGTTCCTGGAATTATATGCAATTGCATCTTGGAAACTCAACAAATAAACAGTTAGTATGGAATTAAGGAATTAAGTTTGGTGAAGTTCAAAGAAGCTGATGTTACTCACAAGAGTAAATAGAGAGGAAACCGGGCGTGGTGGCTTCACGCCTGTAATTCTAGCACTTTGGGAGGCCAAGACGAGCAGATCACTTGAGGTAGAGAGTTTGAGACCAGCCTGGCCAACATGATGAAACCCTGTTCTCTACTAAAAATACAAAAATTAGCTGGGTGTGGTGGCAGGCACCTGCAATCCCAGCTACATGGGAGGCTGAGGCAGGAGAATCGCTTGAACCCAGGAGACAGGGGTTGCAGTGAGCCAAGATCACACCACTGCACTCCAGCCTGGGCGACAGAGCAAGACTCCCTCTCAGGAAAAAAAAAAAAAAAGTAAATAGAGAGGAAAGCACAGGCCAGGGTAAAGAGCTCCATGTAGGGCTGGGCGCGGTGGCTCACGCCTGCGGTCCCAGCACTTTGGGAGGCCGAGGCGGGCGGATCACAAGGTCATGAGATCGAGACCATCCTAGCTAACATGGTGAAACCCCGTCTCTACTAAAAATACAAAAATTAGCCGGGGGTGGTGGGCGCCTGTAGTCCCAGCTACTCGGGAGGCTGAGGCAGGAGAATGGTGTGAATCCAGGAGGTGGAGCTTGCAGTGAGCCGAGATCACACCACTGCACTCCAACTTGGGCAACAGAGTAAGACTCCACCTCAAAAAAAAAAAAAAAAAAGAGCTCCATGTATGATTCGTGTATAATGCTGCGGGCATTTGGAGTGCAGCCAACAGCCCCCTTGCAGAGACCCAGTGTTCATTGTCCCTTCCTTCTTCTAGCAGAACCCCAATTTTATTTTGTTTAGCAAAGTTCTATGCTTTAAATTTTTTTTTGCCTCAAACTGCCATGCAGGTAGGAGTGGTGGTGTGGCATAGGGCTGGCCAATGAGATGTTAGCCTAAGTCATGTAAAGGGGACTTTCAGAAAAGTTCTTTTCTAGGACTGACTCAACTGGCATGGGCCCCCTTTGCCTTTTACTCTCCCACTTCCTCCAGCCTGAAACAAAACCATGATGGTCTGAACTCCAGCCATCAACTGGAGAGCACTTAATCACTTTTTCAGTAAATACATGCCAGGCCCTGTTTTCAGTTCTAGGAACTTACCATAAAGAAAACAGATAAAAATCTCTGGCTTCAAGGAGCTTACAGTCTAGTGAGAGGAAACAAATTATAAGCAAACAAATATATAGTATTTCAGAATATGGTAAGTGTTAAGGAAAATAAATTAAGAAATGAGATTCTTATTATCTTTAGGGACACTCTCACTCCATCTCCTTCTGTTGCCCACACTAGAGTGCAGTGGTGCGATCATAGCTCACTGTAACCTCAAACACCTGGGCTCAAGTGATCCTCCTGCCACAGCCTCCTGAGTAGCTGGGACTACAGGTGTATACCACTACATCTGGCTAATTTTTTTTTTATTTTTTATTTTTGTAGAGACGGAGTCTTGCTACATTCCCCAGGCTGGTCTCAAGCTCCTGGCCTCAAGTGATCTTCCTATCCTAACCTCACAAGGGGCTGGGATTATAGGTGTGAGCCACCACACCACCCAGAAATGAGATTCTTTTTATTTTTGTTTGTTTGTTTGTTTGTTTGTTTTGAGACAGAGTCTCACTCTGTCACCCAGGCTGGAGTGCAGGGGCACATTCTCGGCTCACTGCAGCCTCCACCTCCAGGTTCAAGTGATTTTCGTGCCTCAGCCTCCCAAGTAGCTGGAGTTACAGGAATATGCCACTACACCCAGCTATTTTTTTTTTTTTTTTTTTTTTAGTAGAGACAGGATTTCACTATGTTGGCCGGGCTAGTCTCAAACTCCTGACCTCAGGTGATCTGCCAGCCTTGGCTTCCCAAAGTGTAGGGATTATAGGCGTGAGCCACTGCACCCCGGCCCAGAAATGAGATTCCTGATGCTCGATCAAGTCAGGGTGGTGGCTCAGAAGGCTGGATGGACCTGGGGGTTGTAAAGGTAGCCAGGGTTTGTTTTAATCAGGTGTGGCAAGACGTGCAGACACAGGAATCACTTTCATGGAGGAAGACATTTACTCACAGTTCCCTAGAAACATGCATGAGGCATGGCATGGCGTGCAGGGGTGCCCCATGGGGAAGCACCTGAGTCAGTCAGGAGGCAGTGGGAGTGAAAGGAAAATGTGGGCAAGAGCCTTTATTGTGGTTTCACAGGCAGGAGCGTGCAGGCAGGTAAGCAAGTTCAGGCTCGGCTAGTTTGAATAATTTCAGCAGCCTCTGGGGCATAGGGGCTGTCCCTAGCTCTCTAGTACTGATCCTGGGGTGACTAGGGGAATTGCAGCTAGGAGTGGCAGAGCCTGATGAAGGTGGTGGTTGGGAGGATGGGGTCTAGCTTGGTTGATCTACATATGACAGGCGAGTTCTTTGCTTCTAGGAATTAGCTCAACCTGGGAGAGGCAGTCACTCCAGGGTCAGCAAGACCCCACGATGTGGAAGTATCAGAATATAGAAACTAGAAAACATGGTTAATTACACTAGGTTCTTGCCAATATTGCTATGCTATTAGGATCCCTGCTGTCACCTCTAGATTTATTCTAAATGCAGGAAAATTAAACTCTCAATTTTTTATGCCACTGTTTTTCAGGTTTCTATTACTGGTTAGGTGAATGCCAGGCCTGTACTGATAATGATCCTAAAGAAGACTCCTCTTTCATACGGCCTAGTAACCGATTCTCAGATCTTATCCATATAAATAGGCTGTTAGTCAAACAAGAAAAATAGCAAGATAAGTAACAGATCCTTCATAGAGTAACTACTCTCATCTATGTGCGTGCACACACACACAAACACACACACTAGTGCGAAAATAAAATGATTTTTCACAGACTTTTTCTGAAGATTGAAGATTTCAAAACAGTCTGAAAAAAAGTTTCAAAAGTGGTCCTGAAGTTAGCTTTACATCAATGCATTAAATATTAACTTTTTTTTTTTTTGAGATGGAGTCTCACTCCGTCACCCAGGCTGGAGTGCAGTGATGCCATCTCGGCTCACTGCAACTCCTGTCTCCCGGGTTCAAGTGATTCTGCTGCCTCAGCCTCCCAAGTAGCTAGGATTACAGGCATGCACCACCATGCCTGGCTAATATTTTTGTATTTTTAGTAGAGATGGTGTTTCACCATGTTGGCCAGGCTGGTCTCGAACTCCTGACCTCAAGTGATCCACCCGCTTTGGCCTCCCAAAGTGCTGGGATTACAGGCGTGAGCCACTGTGCCCGGCCTAAATATTAACCTTATATGAACAAAAAGAGAAACGAGGATATATGGAGAGAGTAAAAGAGAAGTGAGGCACGGTGAGAAATGGGGAAGGGAGACCTGAGCCTTTGTCTATAGCGAAGGTTGAAAACTCAGCCACCTGCAGGGGCAAAGCAGAAAATGCAAATGAGGTAGCAGGCTTGGGATAAGAAAGACCTGGCTCTTGTTCTCTGTTTTCCCTTTTTTCAGTAAAGATATAGGTAGAAACTAAAATTTGTCTGCTAGAGGAAAAAATAACTACTCAAGCTAAATAATAAATGCCAATTGGCACTTTCCCTCAGTGTTAAGGAGGCCAGGAGGCATGGAGTGGGCACTGGTGAACAGAGTGGGGCAGCCACCGCCCAGCTCCATCAACTGTTACTAGCAATTGGTGTAGGTCGCATGATGCCAGATAGCCTGATTTTTTTTTAAGCTGTAAAACTGGGATTTCTGTTTAGGGACCGGGTCTCACCCCAGTCGGGAGTGCAATGGCACTATCATAAAACACTGCAGCCTGGAACTCCTGGGCTGAAACAATCCTCCCTCCTCAGCCTCTCAAATTAAATTATAGGTGTGAACCACCACACCCAGCTGATTTTTATTATTTTTTGTAAAGACAGGGTCTCACTGTGTTGCCCATGTTGCCCAGGATAAAATCTGGATTTTTATGTGAAATCTCCAATTCTTAATTGTTGAGATTGAAGACTTTTTTTCTTCTTTTTTTTTGGAGCCAGGGTCTTGCTCTGTCACCCAAGCTGGAGTGCAGTAGCACAATCAAAGTTTTCTACAGCCTTGACCTCCTGGGCTCAAGCAGTCCTCCCAGCTCAGCCTCCCCAGAAGCTGACTACAGACTACAGGCGTGTAGCATCATGCCTGGCTAATTTTTGTATTTTTTATAAAGACGGGGTCCTACTATGTTGCCCAGGCTGGTCCCAAACTCCTGGGCTCAAGCAATCCTCCCAACTCGGCCTCCCAAAGTGCTGGAGTTACATGCATGAGCCACTGCTCCCAGTTCCTGAAGACAATATTTTGGATAAACGTTCTCTTAGCAAATTATATGTTTCTGCAGAGCAGATACTCAGGCAGTAGGCCATCGGTTTGCACTTCTATTATGCTGAACAAATGAGATAGGAAGCTGTTGCAAAGAAAGGAAGGGGAAAAGCAAGGGGCTAGCTGACAGTAAGAAAGACTGGGAGACGGACAAGGAGAGACCCAAGGTGATGGGATGAAAAAGGAAGAAAAAAAAATATTGATGAATGCGATTGAGAAGAGATTGGGGGCCGGATGCAGTGGCTCACGCCTATAATCCCAGCAGGCGTGAGGTCAAGGCAGGCGGATCACCTGGGGTCAGGAATTCGAGACCAGCCTGGCCAACATGGCAAAACCCCATCTCTACTAAAAATAGAAAAAAAAAGCCAGGCATGGTGGCATGTGCCTGTAGTCCCAGCTACTTGGGAGGCTGAGGCACGAGAATCACTTGAACCTGGGCGGCGGCGGAGGTTGCAGTGAGCGGAGATTATGGCACTGCACTCCAGCCTGGGTAATAGAGTGAGACTCCATCTCAATTAAAAAAAGAAGAAGAAGAAGAGATTGAGAAAGAATGAAGAAGAGAGGAAGAAAACACTGGGGCTCAGAAAACAATACCCCAAAGTGTGGCACTTTGGCATGCTGAATACTTTGAACTAAAGGACATTGGGAAGACTCAGAAGCAGCCTCGAAACCAAGATCCCTCTGACCTTCTGCCCCTCCTGTCTCTCGCCCCTCATTCTCTCCTGAAGTGACCCACAGAAGCCAGAATTAGTCCTCCCTAAGACAGGTCATAGAAACCAGAACCCCTGTTCCCCAAAGCCAGCCATAAAAACTAGAATTATTTCTTCTACTGCTTCCTAAGACATGACCATAAATAAATAGTCTGACCTACCCTTGTCTAATGGTGGGCCATAATGAGAGGTGACAGCGTGCTGGCAGTCCTCAGAGCCCTCGCTTGCTCTTGGCACCTCCTCTACCTGGGCTCCCACTTTGGCGGCATTTGACGAGCCCTTCAGCCCACCACTGCACTGTGGGAACCCCTTTCTGGGCTGGCCAAGGCTGGAGCCCACTCCCTCAGCTTGCAGGGAGGTGTGGAGGGAGAGGTGCGAGCGGGAACCGGGGCTGCGAGCGGCGCTTGGGCGCCAGCGGGAGTTCCGGGTGGGCGTGGGCTTGGAGGGCCCCGCACTCAGAGCAGCCGGCCAGCCCTGCCGGCCCCGGGCAATGAGGGACTTAGCACCCGGGCCAGTGGCTGCAGAGGGTGTACTGGGTCGCCCAGCAGTGCCAGCCCACCGGCGGTGCGCTCGATTTCTCACCGAGCCTTAGCTGCCTTCCCGCGGGGCAGGGCTCGGGACCTGCAGCCCGCCATGCCTGAGCCTCCCACCCACTCAAAGGGCTCCTGTGCGGCCCGAGCCTCCCCGACGAGCACCACCCCCTGCTCCACGGCGCCCAGTCCCATCGACCACCCAAGGGCTGAGGAGTGCAAGCACACGGCACAGGACTGGCAGGCAGCTCCACCTGCAGCCCCAGTGTGGGATCCACTAGGTGAAGCCAGCTGGGCTCCTGAGTCTGGTGAGGATGTGGAGAGTCTTTATGTCTAGCTCAGGGATTGTAAATACACCAATCAGCACCCTGTGTTTAGCTCAAGGCTTGTGAGTGCACCAGTCGACACTCTGTATCTAGCTGCTCTGGTGGAGCCTTGGAGAACCTGTGTGTCCAAACTCTGTATCTAACTAATCTGATGGGGACGTGGAGAACCTTTGTATCTAGCGCAAGGATTGTAAACGCACCAATCAGCACCCTGACAAAACAGGCCACTCGGCTCTACCAATCAGCAGGATGTGGGTGGGGCCAGATAAGAGAATAAAAGCAGGCTGCCCGAACCAGCATTGGCAACCCGCTTGGGTCCCTTTCCAGACTGTGGAAGGTTTGTTCTTTTGCTCTTTGCAATAAGTCTTGCTGCTGTTCACTTTTTGGGTCCATGCTGCTTTTATAAGTTGTAACACCGTGAAGATCTGCAGCTTCACTCCTGAGCCAGCAAGACCATGAACCTACCAGAAGGAAGAAACTCCGAACACATCTGAACATCAGAAAGGACAGACTCCAGAAGCACCACCTTAAGGGCTATAACACTCACCGCGAGGGTCTGTGGCTTCGTTCTTGAAGTCAGTGAGACCAAGAACCCACCATTTCTGGACACAATAAGATCCTCATTCCAGAGTGGTCCAGTCCCATACCTGGCTGGCAGAAATGCTACAACATAGAGGCCGAGAAGAATCCGGACAGACAGGCATTGCTGGATTCCTCCAGGAGATCATACCCTTTCTGTCCCATAATGTTTCCACATGACCATCCATTCTTCATCAACTCTAAGCATAAAAAATGAGAATTTTCCCTGTGGGTCTTAATTCTTTTGTTTTTCCTTTCTTTTTTTTTTTTTTTTTTTTTTTTTTGAGACGGAGTCTCGCTCTGTCGCCCAGGCTGGAGTGTGGCAGTGTGATCTCAGCTCACTGCAACCTCTGCCTCCTGTGTTCAAGCAATTCTCCTGCCTCAGCCTCATGAGTAGCTGGGACTACAGGTGCATGCCACCACACCCAGCTAAATTTTTTTTTTTTTTAGTAGAGACAGGATCTTACCATATTGGACAGGCTGGTCTTGAACTCCTGACCTCAAGTGATCTGCCCACCTCGGCCTCCCAAACTGCTGGGATTACAGGCATGAGCCGCCACATCCGGCCCCTGTGGGTCTTCATTCTAAAGGCCACCGTGACACATAAAACTTGGATTCAATAAATGTTTTTCTCTCGTTAACCTGTCTTTTGTTAGAGGACCGTGGCCGAGACTTTCATGATGGAGAGAAAAGGTATCACAGAAAAGGTATGCCCTTTTCTGCTTCTAAAAGGGCAAGGAAGATGGAGAAGAAAGTGAGAAAAAGGAGATTTGAAGAGAGAGGAGGAAGTGGGCTGCTATAGGTAGAGGGTGGAGATTTAAAGTCATTCTACAGGCTCGGCACAGTGGCTCACGCCTGTAATCCCAACACTTTGGGAGGCCAAGGTGAGTGAATCACTTGAGGTCAGGAGTTCAAAACCAGGCTGGCCAACATGGTGAAACCCTGTTTCTACAAAAATACAAAAAATTAGACGGGCGTGGTGGCAGGAGCTTATAATCCCAGCTACTTGGGAGGTTGAGGCAGGAGAATCTCTTGAACCCAAGAGGTGGAGGTTGCAGTGAACCAAGATCACACCACTGCACTCCAGCCTGGGCAACAGAGTGAGACTGTGTCAAAAAAAAAGTCATTCAACAGAAAGAGACAGGAATATGCAGGCACTGTGGAGAGAACAGTGGCTCTATATGGTAAAAGGGAAGCCCACAAGTTTTCCAGCCTTTGGGATTCTGTGCTATTATAATTTATATATAGGTTTTAGTCCATGGTTCCTGGCTTATAATTCCCATTGCCCTTGTTACCATCTGTTGTTGTAATGTTGGGTGCTTTAAGCCTCAGAAGCAGGTCTCAATAAACGGAATCTCTCTGACCTTCTCCTGCCCTCATTTCATCTGCTCCTTTATCTCTCCAAGGCAGGAATCTTTGCCCATCTTTCTGTCTTTGACCTACCTTGTCTGACTATAGGTCATAAGACTCCCATTTCAGAAAGGATGCCCCATATCCTGGAGGAAGAAAGGCTGCACAGAGAGGCCAAGAAGAATCTGGACAGGACTCACTGGGTTTCCCCAGTCTGTCTGTTAGTATTAGATCATATCCTTTTTGTTCAATCACATTTTGACATGGTTGACCATGCTTCAGTCATGCCTGTCCAGTGAAGTCTCCATAAATGCCCAAGAGGATGGGGTTCAGAGAGCTTCTGGAGAGCTGAACACATGGAGGTTCCTGGAAGGTGTTGCACACAGGGAGGACTCGGAAGCTCTGTGCCCCTTCTCCCTGTGCATCTCTTCATCTCTAGCCTTTGTAATAAACCAGTAAATGCAAGTGTTCATTTAACTGAACCCAAAGAGGGGGTTGTGGGAATCCCAACTTGAAGCTGGTGGGTCAGAAGTTCCCAAGGCCAAACCTGTGACCAATGTGGGTCGGGGGGCAGTCTTGGGGACTGAGCCCTCAACCTGTGGGATCTGATGCTACCTCTAGGTAGACAGTGTCAGAATTGGATTAGAAGACACCCAACTGGTGTCTGCTGCAGATTTAATTGCTTGCTTGATGTGTAGAGACAAAACTCCTCACATTTGGTCACAGAAGCCTTCTGTGTTAATGATTGTTGTGAGTGAGAGAGTAGGAAAAAGCACATTGAGTGTTGTTTTTCCCACACACAGAGCACCACTTTTTCTTTGATAGTTAAATAACTCAGGCCCGCACTTTTCTACAACTACAGGAAGTCCAGGGCCCTGGCTCAGGAAGTGGCGCCATTTCCCTGGTCAATATCACCTCTTGCTTCTCCTTTCTTTCAACACCTCCCTGTGGGGGTCCAGCTCCTTCAGCCCTTCCCTTCCTTTACCAGCTGACACTGGACTAGGGGTCAACACAGCTTCAGTGGAAGCTTGAACCATGGGTAGGCCAGCCCAGAATTCTACAGGGGACAAGTAGAATTCCATACCAGAGATGACATTCCTAAAATAATCTCCATGCAAGGTGCCCTATTCTGGAAATTTCTCACCACCTCTCTGCTCAAGGAAGACATCCTTTCTCTTCACTGTGCTCAGCAATGGGGCATCTCTTTGATCAGACTCTGCCTGAATTTCATGTAATCAAAGGACACATTAAAATGTTTTCTTTCACACAAGAACCCCAGAGGGGCTGGGAACTAGAAGAGCTGTATTCTTTTATTTATTTATTTATTTATTTTGAGATAGAATCTTGCTCTGTTGCCCAGGCTGGAGTGCAGTGGCGTGATCTCAGCTCACTGCAACCTCCACCTTCCAGGTTCAAGCAATTCTCCTGCCTCAGCCTCCTGAGTAGCTGGGATTACAGGCACCTGCCACCAGGCCTGGCTAATTTTTTTTATATTTTTAATACAGACAGGGTTTCACCATGTTGACCAGGCTGGTCTCGAACTCCTGACCTCAAGTGATCCGCCCACCTCGGCCTCCCAAAGTGCAGGGATTACAGGCATGAGCCACCGCACCCAGCCAAATTTCTGTATTTTCTTTTTTAATTTATTATTATTATTATTTTATTTTGAGATGGAGTCTTGCTCTGTTGCCAGGCTAGAGTGCAGTGGCACGATCTCGGCTTACTGCAACCTCCGCCTCCCGGGTTCAAGCGATTCTCCTGCATCAGCCTCCTGAGTAGCTGGGACTACAGGCACGCGCTGCCATGCCCAGCTAATTTTTGTATTTTTAGTAGAGACAGGGTTTCACAATGTTGGCCAGGATAGTCTCGATCTCTTGACCTCGTGATCTGTCCACCCCGGCCTCCCAAAGTGCTAGGATTACAGGTGTTAGCCACAGAGCCCGGCTTTTATTTTTATCTTTATTTTTGAGGCAGAGTTTTGCTCTTGTCACCCAGGCTGAAGTGCAATGGCACAACCTCAGCTCACTTCAACCTCCGCCTCCTGGGTTCAAGCAATTCTCCTGCCTCAGCCTCCTCAGTAGCTGGGTCTATAGGCGTGCGCCACTACGCCCGGATAATTTTTTATTTTTATTTTTAGTAGAGATGAGGTTTCACCATTTTGACCAGGCTAGTCCCGAACTCCTGACCTCAGGTGATCCACCCTCCTCAGCCTCCCAAAGTACTGGAATTACAGGCGTGAGCAACCACACCCGGCCTAGAGCTGTATTCTTGATGATGGAGAGCAGTTTCCTCCTCTCTGCCAGGCCACACTGTGTGTGGCCATCGCATCCTGAATGGTGCTCTAGTTCTTGAGACCTACAGAAGCCATTTCCTATTTTCCTTACTCACCTGTGTATCCTTAGGCAATGTCCATCCCCTGAGGTAACTTGGGTGTTTCTCTGTCTTTTGCCACCTGTGTGAGCTGAATACCTTCACATTGGCTTGTCTGTAGAAGGCAGTCAGGTTTTTGTTTTGCTTTGCTTTCTAGTTGGATCAGATAAGAGTTAACAGAAAATGACCACAGTCTAAGTCACTTGCTCAGTGATCAAGTTGTGAAAAAACTGAAATCACTTTATATATGTGTGTGTGTATATATATATGTGTGTGTATACATGTGTATATATATGTGTGTATATATATGTGTGTGTGTGTGTTTATATATATATATATATATATATTTTTTTTTTTTTTTTTTTTTTTTTTTTTTTTTGAGACAGTCTTACTCTGCCGCCTAGGCTGGAGTGCAGTGGTGCAATCTTGGCTCACTGCAACCTCCACCTGCTGGGTTCAAGCGATTCTTCTGCCTCAGCCCTCCCGAGTAGCTGGGATTACAGGTGCCTGCCACCACACCTGCTAATTTTTGTATTTTCAGTAGAGACAGGGTTTTACCATATTGGCCAGGCAAGTCTGTAACTCCTGGCCTCAGGTGATCCGTCCGGCAGCTTCCCAAAGTGCTGGGATTACAGGCATGAGCCATCACACCCATCCTGAAATCACTTTTGACCTGGAAGTCACCCTTTTTCTGTGCTTCTGAACACATGGCAACCTTCTACCCACCTGCCCAGCATCCTCATGTCCCACTGGTTTTTCCCAAATCTGTTCTCTTCCCCTGCGCCTCCTCCACTCCTGCCGCTTTATCTCCAGCACACATTCCTCTTCCTCCTCCTTTTTCATCTAATTATCCAACAGATACGTGATGAGAGCCCACGTGTGCCAAGCACTGTGCTGGCAACAGAACAGACGGAGGGCAAGACGGAGCCCCTCTCCAGCCACGGGTCCCTACAGCCTAGCATGATGCCTGCAGTCACAGCCGAGCACACTGCTCACATCTGAGCTCAGCAGATCTGGGCAGTGAAGTGGAGTAAAGTTAGTCTTTACATGGAAAAGCAAACAGAAATACAGACTGTTATGAGCCTTTTTTGCGGAGGCCACAAACTTAGACGTTTTGAGCCTGGAATCTGACGTCACACAGACCCAAATCCCACTACTTACCAATTGTGTGAACTTATCTCTGGGCCTCTTTTTCCTTCTGGAAGTAACCACCCTAGCCAACTAACAGGTCAAGATGAAATGATTTATTCTGTGTAAAGTACTTAGCGCAGTATCTGATGCGTGGTGGTAGGAAATAACCACTAAATGGTAGTTGGCATTAATGATATGGATCTGCGCTAGGAGTTACATGAGCAGAGTAAGACAGGTTTCAATTTCTGTATTCCACTCCTCCCTTCCTCTGCCCACTTCTCCACCCCCTGACCCCAGTCTTTTCCAGTTAGAAAGGTAGAAATTCCTAATGGAAATCAAGAGCAGGGGAGGGGTGGAAACAGGAAACATGGGTTATCAACAAAAACTGGGCTCCAGGACAGGCGCCGTGGTTCACGCCTGTAATCCCAACACGTTGGGAGGCTGCTGGACAGATCACCTGAGGTCAAGAGTTCGAGACCAGCCTGGCCAACATGGTGAAACCCCGTCTCTACTAAAAATAAAAATTAGCTGGGTGTGGTGGCGGGCGCCCGTAATCCCAGCTACTCAGGAGGCTGAGGCAGGAGAATCACTTGAACCCAAGAGACAGAGGTTGCAGTGAGCCGAGATCACACCACTGCACTCCAGCCCAGGCGACACAGTAAGACTCCGTCTCAAGGAAAAAACAAAAACACAAAAAACTGGGCTCCTGAGTGCTCCACACGCGTGAGTGGCCATCCTGCTCCTGAGAAGCAGCTCTCCAACCCCCTGGCCCAAGTAGAGCTGGGCCCTCCTGGACGTCTACAGGATCCACTCCCCCTTGAATCATTCTCTGGACAGGCCTTTAATGCACTCTTCCTCAAGCCCTAAAGGTCATAACTCCTTGAATGGCTGGAAAAACACTGTGCTGAAATCACAAAGAATCCAGGAAAGAAAAACAGGCAGCAAAATGGAACCAAACACAGGGAGTTGAACAGACGTTTATTTTGATCCATGTCCAGCTTTGGCCAAGAAAATAATAAAATGTCCAGGAAAAATCAAGCTGAAGGGAGGGGGTGGGAGAGAGGAGCTAGTAATATCAAATTTGAGACTCTATATGAAAAAAGACAAAAGTTGGTCCACTTATCATAGCATACATACAAAAAGATAAATTCCATATGAGACTTTAAAAAACAAAAACCACACAATATTAAAGGGAAATAAATTCTTCTACAGCTTGGGAGTGGAAAAGACTTGCATAACTATGGCTAAATCTTCAGCTGCAGTTGAAGAGAAAGAATGATAAATTTTGGCTGGGCATGGTGGCTCATGCCTGTAATCCCAGCACTTTGGGAGGCCAAGGCAGGTGGATCATGAGGTCGGGAGTTCAAGACCAGCCTGGCCAATATGGTGAAACCCCGTCTCTACTAAAAATGCAAAAATTAGTCAAGCATGGTGGCGCTCACTTGTAGTCCCAGCTACTCAGGAGGCTGAGGCAGGAGAATCGCAAAAAAACAAAAAACAAAACAAAAACAAAAACAAAAAACAAAACAAACGAAACAAAACAACTATCCTAAGGTAGCATATTATACCTATCAGATCGGCAAAAAATCCAAAAATTTGTCAATACATGTAGTTGGCAAAGCTATAGGGAAATAGGCATTCTAGTACATTGTGACTAGGAATGCAAAATGAGGCAATCTCTATGGAAGGGAATTTGACTGGCTGTATCTAGCAAAATTACATATGCATTTCCAGCAATACCGTTTCTAGGAAACTATTCCAAAACATCACTGGCAAAAATATGAAAAAGTATTTGTGTAGGCTATTTATTGCAGCTCTATTTGTCATAACAAAAGACTAGAAATAGGCCGAGCATGGTGGCTGTAATCCTAGCACTTTTTGAGAGGCCAAGGCGGGCTGTTTGCTTAAGCCCAGGAGTTCAAGGCCAGCCTGAGCAACATGGTGAAACTCCATCTCTATTTCAAATTTTAAAAATAAATAAATAAATAAATACTGGAAATAACCCAAATGTCTAACAACAAGGGACTGACTAAATTAAATATGAAGTACTATGGAGCATTGAAAAAAGAATAAATATCTCTACATACTGCCATGGGCTGATTGACAGCACCTATTGTTAAGTAAAGAAAGGTCAAACTGTATGTCAATTGTATCCCAATGTTCATTTAAAAAAAAGAGAAGTGGGGAAATCTGGATGCTACTCTATATCTAAGAATATATACATGTATATATTTAAATTTCTAAAAATCAAAAGCAAAAATAAAAGACTATCCGCACAGTGAGTTAGTGATACAATTACAGAGAGAAAAACTGTCTCAAACAACTTTAGACCACTGCAATTTGATTGTATATTCCTAGTGAGATATACCCTAAGGACAAAAAAAAAGGAACTGAAAGAATAGTTTTATTGTGGAGACAAAAGTGGCCCCATCTTGGATGCTAATCCACCATGTCGTCATCTGATTAGCCCCAGTCCCAGGAACGCCTCCTGATTCCTACTTTATTTACTGTCCCTAGTGTAAGAATATATCAACTTTGATGTTATCACACAAATTATAAGCTGTGACGCACATAGCATTCTAGCCTGTTCTGGACAGTTGCCTTTGTCTTGCACTAAGCACATATACTCTTTCCCTATGGTATATAAATAAGCCTTGGGTCTGAGATAACAGTGCGAGATCCACCTGTCTTGCAGCTGCCCAAGAGCAGGCTTCCGTCTGTAAGTTCCCCAGTGAAACACGCCTTAGCAACAAACTGGACTTGCCTACCTTGTTCTTTGGTTTCTCAGCTCCTTTGACCTTTGGGGGCCACTTTGCATGTATGGCCCTTTCATGGAAAAGCATTATCATATTAATGGCGATAATATTGATGTTGTTATTTTAAGACTGTGTATAAGTATTGAGGGATAAAGCAAACGTTGGTCGATTTGGAAACTAGAATATTTGGTCGGGAGAAAAAAACAGATGCAAGTATGTGAAGTTATATAAAAACACTGAGAGCCTCTATTTGAATGGAAAGTATCTTTTTCCTTGATCCTAGAGCTGGTAAAAAAAAATTTAAAAAAATAAAGAAAGTATTAGTATAAACAGACAATGAGTTTATTTTTAAAATATGTTTATATTTTCTTCCCACTAAAAGGCCCTAGAAACAAGAACCAATCCAGCAGCAACAAGCATCTCTGGCAGTCTATCATTTCCCTTCAACTGAAATCAGATCTTCTTAAAGAAATGCTTGGCTCTCAGACTGGGAACGGAAATGTACAAGATGTGCTTCGATATCTGGTCAAATCAGAAACTCAAAAAGCTATCAAAGTCTCTTTGGACTGTGTCAGAAAGAGGTGAAAAGACTCCCACTTGCCAAAGACGGGACAATTTGAGCATTCATAAGACTAATCACTATAATGGACTATAGTGAACTGAAGTACATCAAATATGTTTCAATCCATGATTTCATAATGGTATCTTAAATAATTGGTCGCTTGTGGAGGACTCTACGTAACCAACTCAACAACTTGAAAACTGGTAATAAAGAGAAATCCTTTATTCTGCCTTTCCTATAGAAACCATAACTGAACCCCATGGTTGATGAAGCAATTTCTCTTACACAAGCAGTCTACCTAATAACTGAAGAAAGGAGCGAGCAGGGCAGGAGAGTGGGTGTGGGGGAGAAAAAAGAATAAATACATAAATGAAGAAAGAAATAATAGAATTCCAATATTACTATTTTGCAACTCCTAATGAAATAATGGATTAGTCGATGATCACGAATGACTTAGAACATCACCAAAAGAGACGGACACAAGCAGACAGCATGTACCTCTGGGTGAATGTTCACAACATTCCCTGAGAAGGGGCCCTGCAAAAACAAACACTGAACTTCAATCTGATCAGACCTCTAGATGAAATTAGCAATTCACAAGAAGTCAGCGATCAGAGGAGTGTCTTACATAGCACCTCCAGGGTAGAATCAGCAAAACCCAGACTGGAAAGCTGTACAGTACAAAAAAAATCCATTTTCTCCAACAAACCTATTTCAAGAGGGGGAAAAAATGAGAGAGCTAACCTGTACATTAAAGGAGATATAAAAAACAATAATCAGGTCAGGCAAGGCACATCTGTAATCTCAGCACTTTGTCAGACCAAGGCAGGTAGATCGCTTCAATCAAGGAGTTCGAAACCAGCCTGGGCAATGTGGTATAAAACCTGTCTCTATCAAAAAAAAAAAAAAAAAAAATCAGCCGGGTGTGGTGGCCCATGCCCAAATCCCACTTTTGGGATTACAAATTATAATCCCAAATTTTGTATTCTGAAATCACACTTTTGGGATTATAGGTGTGAGCCACCATGCCTGGCCTTCGATCTTGATTTAAAGTAAACTTATTACGAAACAAAATATATGAGGCAGGGTACGGTGGCTCACACCTGCAATCCCAGCATTTTGGGAGGCTGAGGCAGGCAGATTGCTTGATCCCAGGAGGTCAAGACCAGCTTGGGCAAGACAGGAAGATCTCTACCAAAACTACAAAAATTAGCTAGGTGTGGTGGCATGCACCTGTAGTCCCAGCTACTCAGGAGGCTGAGGTGGGAGGATCACTTGAGCCCGGGAGGCAGAGGTTTCAGTGAGCTGAGATCACACCACTGCACTCCAGCTTGGGAGAATCTGAAAAAAATCAGAGACCCCTAAATTCCAAGCTATTTTGCCACTGTTCTGAGCCTAGGAATCTGCTGTTTTCAGTAAAGACCACTTCAGAGTCCAGAACCACAGGGTTGGACCATCTCCCTCCAATTGTCTCTTTACTGATCATGACCACCTCTCCCATTCTCTCCCAGCCTCCCCTCCTACCAGCATAGAGGAGAGAACCAGGAGAGTGGAGGATTCAGCCACCCAGAATGATGTGCAGGCGGGGCGTGGTATTTCACGCCTATAATCCCAGCACTTTGGGAGGCCAAGGTGGGTAGATCACTTGAGGTCAGGAGTTCAAGACCAGCCTGGTCAACATGGTAAAACTCCGTCTCTACTAAAAATACAAAAACTAGCCAGGCGTGGTGGCACGTGCCTGTAGTCCCAGCTACTTGGGAGGCTGAGGCAGGAAAATCACTAGAACCAGGAAGGCAGAAGTTGCAGTGAGCTGAGATAGCACCATTGCACTCCAGCCTGGGCAACAGAGTGAGACTCTATCTCAAAAATAATAAATAAATAAATAAATAAATAAAAACAGAATGAGGTGCAGACAAGAGGTTCCCTGAAAGTGGTTCCAGTTCATACTCTTACTCATCTGGAGCATAGATTTTGGCATTATTGGGGATGTCCCCAAATGAACAAGTTCTGCTCATGTGATATGAGTTGATGTTCCTGATCCCAACTGGGCCTGTGATTTGGAAAGAGAAGTGTTTAGGATACTCCTCCAAATACCACCAGCAGCTAGAATAACTGTAAGTGATGCACTGTGGGACTCCACTTTGAAAAAAGGGACACTCTGTGTCCACGACCTAGATGCTCCTAAGTCAGAAGAACTAAGAATTAGCCAATATCCCCACCTATGCCTACTATAGTCTCTCAAATCACTCAACCTTTCCTAGATTCAGTTGCTACTTCTGCAATAAGGGATAATATTTTATCTAGACCAGGAACCAGACTAGGATACCTCTTGAGGTCCCTAACTGCTTTGAGCTCTAACCTTATCAGCTACAATACTGGGAGGAACTCCTTATTTCAGAGAACAGAATAAACAGCAGGACCCAAGGAAGGGCAAGAATGGGCAAGTTAGGAAGTGTTGCTGGACATATGAAGCCAAGGGTTGAACCTGGTAGGCAGACACTAATTAAACAAATGTAATACTTACTGAGCTCTTACTACATGCCTGCTGCTAGGCTAGGTCCTTTTTATGCCTCATCCCATTATTACCCTCAACAATCTGTAGGCAACAACCCTCACTTCCTTCTCTCAAAGGAAACCTCACTCCGACATCTCAGGAACATGTCTCTTACGCATTTCGTATTTCAAACACCTGGAAGTTATATGTAATAACTGAAAAGTTTCATGCAATGTGCAGCAAAGATGCTGAGGGACAGCCCAGGTCTAATGTGGAAGGTCTGAGTTCATGGGGTGGGAGGAGGTGGGGGTCAAAGACCTCCATAATACAATGAACAAAGCTTCTTCCATCTTACCTTCAAGCAGCAGCCTATCTAAAAGAATTTGTCATCTTTGCAAAAGACATCCAGAAGATTCCAAGCTTCTCCAGTCAGAGCTTTGTGTTTGACAGAAGCCATGACCAGCCATTGCTCCATTCCCAGTGGCTCATCTGGCCATCTGCTATCTTGGGTTTTTTTGTTTGTTTGTTTGTTTTCAGAAACTCCAGCAAGCAACACATGAATCACATCTCTAAACAAAGGCTTGTTCCACCTCTTACAATTTTATAATAAATGAGTGAGGCTGAAAGTGGGGTGTATTTATTTGCAAGAAGTCACAATGTAAGGGGTGATTATAGAGCAATTGTTTTTTCTCTATCATTTCCTAACAAGAGTCATACCTTGAAGTTTCAATAATTACATACTGATAGTGACACACAAAAAAGAGGAATTTACATGGGAAGCAAAGATGTGAACTATATTACGTGGATTTTTTTTTTAAGATGGGGTCTTACTCTGTCATCCATGGTGGAGTGCAGTGGCACAAACATGGCTCATGGCAGCCTTGACATCCCCAAGCTCAGGTGATCCTCTCACCTCAGTTTTTTAAATTAAATTAATTTTTTGTTTTTTATTTTTAGTAGAGACAGGGTTTTGTCATCTTGCCCAGGCCAGTCTCAAACTCCTGGACTCAAGCAATCTGCCTGCCTTGGCCTTCCAAAGTGCTAGGATTACAGGCGTGAGCCACATATGGATTTTTCTGTCCCCAGTGAAGGAGCAACATTTGAACTGTGTTTACATTAGTCTAGCCAAAACAAAAACAAAAAAAACTCTTTCCCTCACCAAACCATATAATTAACAATGGGGCTTAACTCTGTAGCCACAATCATACCCAGCATTATTTCAGTGAATCAATGAAGCAATAATGGGGCACAGGGCTTTATTAGTTGTCTGTGCCTCCTGGCTATGGAGATTCAGTACGATAAACATGTCCATCTGAAAATTCAGTATTTCTGGTTGCTTCACTTGTCTGTGAAGACCCCTGACATTTAGGGACATGCAGTTTTGCTGAGGCTCAGACACAAGTGGCACTGCCCAGCTGGGCATGGTTGAGTGAGTATGGATGAGAGCTGACTACCCAGCTTCCCAAAGCGGCTCTGCATTTCTCAGCAGGTGGTCTCACAGGCAGAAACCTACGGGAAACACCTTTTTTAAAAAACCTTGTTTCTTTGTGAAAATCGCCTCCCAATAAAGCCACTTGCTTACACAGGTAATAGAAGCAATGAAAATGTCTGGCCAGGTGTGGTGGCTTACGCCTGTAATCCCAGTACTTTGGGAGGCCAAGGTCAGGAGTTTGAGACCAGCCTGCCAAATATGGTGAAACCCTGTCTCTACTAAAAATACAAAAATTAGCCGGGCATGGTGGCGGGCGCCTGTAATCCCAGCTACTCAGGAGGCTGAGGCAGGAAGAATCACTTGAATCTGGGAGGCGGAGGTTGCAGTGAGCCGAGATCGCACCGTTACACTCCAGCCTGGGCAACAAGAGCAAAACTCAGTCTCAAAAAACAAAAAACAAAAAACAAAAAAAAAAGAAGTAATGAAAATGTGAAGAGATCTAAGAAAGTGACAGTTTTTAGGAATTGTAAATTGGGGTAAAGACTGGAATTTTTATCTCAATGATAGTTCAGCTCTATGATTCCAGCATAAATGCAGACATTTCGTAAAAGACTAGAGAAATGATTTCAGGAAATGTGTCCAGCCAGCTCAAACATTTCTCACAGAGTACGATACAAAGCTTAAGTGAAAGTAGGAACAGCAGATAACTTGTGGTAAGAGAATACAAACAGGAAGCAGCAGCCTCTCGAAGTAAATATTATTGAATCAGGCCTAGAAGACCTGGGGAAGTATTTATGTATCATCTAATTGGAAGATTTACAAAGCTCTCTAGTGTCTTTGGTAGAGGTCAAGAAAGGGTCGGCTCTCCTTCCTGCAAGCAGGCCGGTGGGATCACTGCACAGCAGCCTCCCTCTCCTTTTAGGATCCCTCATCTAACCCCACACCAATGGATTTTGGGGGTTGAAAGATTCTGGGCTGGGCACGGTGGCTGA
This sequence comes from Homo sapiens, assembly GCF_000001405.40. NCBI lineage: Eukaryota > Metazoa > Chordata > Mammalia > Primates > Hominidae > Homo > Homo sapiens. Next base: position 2,049,943 of record NT_167245.2, on the reverse strand, counting down.
TGTCTGTAATCCCAGCACTTTGGGAGGCTGAGGCAGGAGGATCACTTGAGCCCAAGAGTTCAAGACCAGCCTGGGCAACATGGCAAGACCTTGTCTCTATAAAAATTTTTTTAAAAAATTAGCCAGGCATGGTGGTGTGAGCCTGTGGCCCCAATTACTCAGGAGGCTGAAGTGAGAGGATTGCTTGAGCCTGGGAGGTTAAGGCTGCAGTGAGCCAAGATCGCACCACTACACTACAGCCTGGGTGACAGAGTGAGACCCTCTCTAAATAACAAATAAAGACTCTGGGGCCGGGCGCAGTGGCTCACGCCCGTAATCCCAGCACTTTGGGAGGCCGAGGTGGACAGCTCACGAGGTCAGGAGTTCGAGACCAGCCTGGCCAACATGGTGAAACCCCATCTCTACTAAAAATACAAAAATTAGCTGGGCTTGGTGGCACGTGCCTGTAATCCCAGTTACTCAGGAGGCTGAGGCAGGAGAATCGCTTGAACCCGGGAGGCAAAGGTTGTAGTGAGCTGAGATCATGCCATTGCACTTCAGCCAGGGTGACAGAGTGAGACTCCATCTCAAAAAATAAATAAATAAATAAAAAATAAAGGCTCTGAACTCCCCAGAACAAGACTGTCTTGTGGTTAAGATGAGATGTGGGGGTGGGGTTGTAAAAGCAGTCAGCATGCCGAGCATAGAGCCCCTCTCCAACAGGAAAGTCTTCAGACTCATCTTCCAAGACCTCATCCTCTCTATATATAGATATTATCTAGTGCTGCATGCATATCCTCCCCTCCATTCCTACTTGATTTATTATTTTACTCTTGTTCAATGATATCTGGACTTATATGTCTTTTCTTGTAACTATCAAAGTCCCTTTGGATATAAATTTGGTGTACATAAATAACAATAGTGGGGCCGGGCACGGTGGCTCGCGCCTGTAATCCCAGCACTTTGGGAGGCCGAGGCAGGCGGATCACGAGGTTAGGAGATCGAGAACATCCTGGCTAACACAGTGAAACCCCGTCTCTACTAAAAATACAAAAAATTAGCCGGGCGTGGTTGCGGGCGCCTGTAGTCCCAGCTGCTCAGGAGGCCGAGGCAGGAGAATGGTGTGAACCCAAGAGGCAGAGCTTGCAGTGAGCCAAGATAGCGCCACTGCACTCCAGCCTGGGCGACAGAGCGAGAGTCCGTCTCAAAAAATAATAATAATAATTTTTTAAAAAATAACAATAGTAGTTACCAAGCATTGACTGTAATATGCCAAACAATGTATATACATTGTCTTTTATCCTCATGATGCTTGGAAATAGAATTTACAAGAAACAGAGGCACAGGAAAGGGAGGCAACTCATTCACTTTCTCACAGCTAGTAAGTGGTGGGCTCAGGGTTCAAACCCAAGTAGGAAGGAATCTATGTCGGACTCATGCTGTTAGTAAGTTGTCTTTAATGGTGTGTATATCATTCGTATTCCTCTCTCACCTACTACTAGTTACGCAGTTTTACAAAAGCTGTTTCCTAAGCTGAGCTAAAGGAAGGTTAACTACAAACACACCTGCGTGCACGCACACACCCTTTATTCAGCTAGATTACTTCATCCTTTCAACCAAAGGAATTGGGCCTCTTCCATGCCAGACACTGGCATGGTAAACATGTCAGCCATGGTCCCTGCATTTCTGGAGCTTCTATTTTCACTACCGCTATTCCCCAGGTATGTCTTAAACGATACCTTCTTTAGTAGGCATTCCTTGTCACCCCAGACTAAATTAGATGACCTCATTATACAGTACCATGCTTTTCTTTCATAACACCCAATACCCTGTAATTACTTGTTCAATGTCTTTCTTCTTGGGCCGGGTTCGATGGCTCATGCCTGTAATCCCTGCACTTTGGGAGGCCGAGGTGGGTGGATCACCTGAGGTCAGGAGTTCGAGACCAGCCTGGCCAACATGATGAAACCCCTGTCTCTACTAAAAATACAAAAAATTAGCCAGGAGTGGTGGCAGGTGCCTGTAATCCCAGCTACTCAAGAGGCCTGAGGCAGGATAATTGCTTGAACTTGGGAGGCGGAGGTTGCAGTGAGTCGAGATCACACCACTGCACTCCAGCCTCGGCAACAAGAGCAAAACTCCGTCTCAAAAAAATAAAAATAAAAAAGTCTTTCTTCTCATTGTCCTGTGACCTCCATGAGGATGAGACGGGCTGTCCTGTTCGCTGCTATAGCCAGTATCTTGTGTAGCACCTGGCACCTAAGAGAAAATTCATAATTGTTTGTTGAATGAATGGATGTGAACAAGCAGTAGGAAAAGACTTTCTCAAAGGTTAGGGAAGATGGTGCAGGGTTGGTGACTAACCCATATTTAGCTGATATCAGTTTCTGTGCCACTAAGTTCTAACCTCTCTCTGCTTAATAGGAACCAGCAGCCTCTGAGTTTAAGCCTCCCTCCATTGCACACACATTCCAGTGTCTGCCTTGCTAATGAGCTCTGCCAGGCTCAGCCCAGGAGCTGTACCAGTGAGTGGCAGCCTGCCCTGTGGAAGGGACTAATTAATCCTAAATGTCACATTGGTCTCATAGCTCTTGCCCTTTGCACGCATACCCAATCTGGGTATCTCTTTAATCACAATCTCTAGCCCTGGATTGAACCTCAAGAGAATCAACAATACCTGGAACGAATGACCACATCCCCGCTCCACCCCTCACTGTGTTGGGGTTACCTGGAGATGGTGTCTTTCCCACTGTACTCTGTAGGAGGAGGTCACACACCTGGGAATAAGAGTGGTCTCTGAAAGAGATGGCCATTCAGGTATTAGGCAGGCATAGGTGAGGTGGGTCATCAGATAGGGACCTGGAACTCAGAAGGGAGCCTTTCACAGGAGGGGTGGGAACCTCCATACGTCTCTAACCTTCTCTACTCAGACTCAGGGAGTTGCCATGGGAGGGAGCCAGGAAGGGGCAACTCCTGCAGTTGCCTTCAATGACTCCGATTCTGGTTACCTGCTGCTCAGTCCTTCACTTTCTCTTTCCTTAGCTCTTGGCCTTTAGGGAGGTCCTGTTTTAACAAGACTGTTCCAGGTGTGTGCAGTGCTGATGGCCTCAGCTATACTTGTTCATAGACATAAAGGGACAGAAAAACCTCTGGGGACAGGGTAGGGCTGCAACGTCCAGCTTCGCTCCCCAGGGAGATGCTCCCATCACAAAAGATGTACCACTTATTTTGTTACAGGAGGCTGCTGTTTCTTTGCAGCATCTTTTTGGTTGTTTTTGAGATGGGGTCTCATTCTGTTGCCCAAGCTGGAGTACAGTGGCATGATCATGGCTCACAGCAGCCTCAAACCCCTGGGGCAATCCTCCCACCTCAGCCTCCCAAGTAGCTGGTACTACAGGTGCTCACCAACACACCTGGCTAATTTTTATATTTTTTGTAGAGATGGGGGTACACCATGTGGCCCAGGCTGGTCTCAAACTCCTAGGTTCAAGTAATCTGCCTGCCTCAGCCTCCCACAGTGCTGGGATTACAGGCATGGGCCACCGAGCTCAGCCTTTTGGCAGCATCTACACAAGCTGCGGAAGGCCTCTGATTCCAGGCCTCAGATGGAGTGCCCCAAAGTGGCATGAGACTCAGCTCTGCAGATTTTTGCCCTGGGGCTTAGAGTTGTTCTGCTCTTCACAGATCCCAGCCTGGGCCAGATGGCATAACCCCATCTCTACCAAAAAAACACAAAAATTAGCCAGGTGTGTTGGTGAGCACCTGTAGTCCCAGCTACTTGGCAGACTGAGATGGGAGGATTGCTTCTGCCTTAGGAGTCTGGGGACCTTGCCAGAGGAAGGTCACCACCTGTCAGGCAAAGGGATTCCTACTGTAACCCCAGGGTCAGGAATCCAGTCCACAAACTGCTTTTCATCCCAAGACCTCAGGCTCAAAGTCAAAGTTCCCCTCTTCTGTGTTGTGCAGCACCACCCCCACCACACTCCCACCAATCCAGGGCACTTTTCTAGTTTCTTCATGAATTAGATCTCCCTTTTCTTGATCTGAAAGAAAAGGACCCTAATAACAAGCCAGAACTCCTCCCAGCAAAATCCCTGGGATTAATAACATTGGTACTTACTTTGTTCATGTGTGAATAATCAATATTCTCCAGCCTCTTTTCTGTCTCTTTTGTGCACACACTTTCCCATAGATACTATCGGTCTTCCCTCAGTCTGCAGCTGAAACTCTGTGACTGCTGGGGGCAGGCCCTGTTCTCTTCAGCTCTCACTCTGGACCCCAATGTTAGTGCTCTGGGCCGGGCGCGGTGACTCACACCTGTAATCCCAGCACTTTGGGAGGCCGAGTCTGGTGGATCACTTGAGGCCAGGAGTTCAAGACTAGCCTGGCCAACATTGCGAAACCCTGTCTCTACTAAAAATACAGAAATTGCCAGGCATGGTGGCACGTGCCTGTAATCCCAGCTACTTGGGCAGGAGAATTGCTTAAACCTGGGAGGCAGAGGCTGCACTGAGCCAAGATCACGCCACAGCATTCCAGCCTGAGCGACAGAGTGAGACTCTGTCTCAAAAAAAAAAAAAAAAAAAAAAAAGACAGTGATGTGTTAGCAAACCAGCTTGTGGGGGAGATGGGGATCCCTGATTTGTAGTAGTTATCCGTGTGTAGTTATTCCGTGGTGTAGATACTTCCTCCCATGACCAATTTCCAACCACTGACAGTTTAACAAACAGCTTGCAAATTTCCTGAATATTTAACACTCTCACTAGCAGGTCTGAGCTGGCTCCAGCACACCACTGGTTCAGGGGAATCACTGGAGCTTACCTGGGACCCAGGATGTCTTGACAAAATGAGTAACAGATCACATGGAAGTGAAGGGAAAGAGGGTACCTCACACGTCATTTCTGCCCGCTGGCTCCCCTGGCTCAGGGTACTGGAAAGAGTACGGGCTTTAGAAAAGCTCTAGGTTCAAGTCCTTGTGTGACTGCAAGTTTCAGCATCCAACTCTGCAAAATAGGATTGATAAAACCAACCCACAGGATTACTTTGAAGATAAAATTAGATACCTAGATTAAATGCCTAACAAATACATGGAGCAAGCTCTCAATATACATTTTCTTTTGCCCCCACCCTGTCCTAATTTTCTAGTAGTTCAAAGAATTCTTTTCCAAAGGACCCAATAGGAGAAGCTCAAATGCAACACTGTCAAAGAGGGGACAGGTAAGTCTACCCAATCCACCCCAGTGTGAGCTTTAACTTTGGACCCCTTCAAGGAGCACAGCTCTTTTCTACTTCAAGACTCTCCTTTGTCCTCATTCCAAGAGGTGAGTTCATCAAAATTTTCTGGGGTTCATGCCACCTAGCTTCATTCTCCTCTGATATGGCAAGCTGCACCCAGAATCAGAAATCACACTTCAAAAAGGGAGCAGCATGTCAGGGCCAGAGCAAGGGCATCGGCTGCCCCAAGGCTGCCCTTTGTACGGGGCAGAGCACATAAAGCTTTCCGCAAGCCCCAAATGCCTCCCACATCAAACCAGGTCCTATAGTCAATGGTTACACTGAACACTCATGGGGATTTATTGCACAATTTTGCAGCAGGAGGTTGTGGTCAGAGATTTAGAAGAACTTTCCAACTATAAAACTACCCTAGAAGGAAGTGGAATCTTTGACTCTGTGGCTCGAGTAGGGGAGGAGTCAGAAGCAGAAGGGACATGAGGCTCCCTAGATTTTAGTTTTGCTGCTCACAAACAATGAAATGATTGGGATCATACAGCAGAGACAGCAAATGAAACTTTGGAGAAATACGGTTTCTTTTTATTTTTTATTTTTATTTTTATTTTATTTATTTTTTTTTTTTGAGACGGATTCTCACTCTTTTGCCCAGGCTGGAGTGAAGTGGCATGATCTCGGCTCACTGCAACCTCTGCCCCCGGGTTCAAGCGATTCCCTGCCTCAGCCTCCCCAGTAGCTGGGATTACAGGTGCCTGCCACCACGCCCGGCTAATTTTTGTACTTTAGTAGAGACAGGGTTTCACCATGTGGCCAGGCTGGTCTCGAACTCCTGACCTCAGGTATTCCACCCACCTCAGCCTCCCAAAGTGTTAGGATTACAGGCGTGAGCACCACCCCCAGCCTGAGAAATATGGTTTCTTGTGACAAAGAGCTTTTGGTAACTCAGGAAATTTTCAGAAACTTTGAAGTATTATACAAAAACTCTTAATTAGAATTAGATGAGAAGGCCAGGTGCAGTGGCTCATGCCTGTAATCCCAACGCTTTGGGAGGCCGAGGCAGGCGGATCATGAGGTCAAGAGATCGAGACCATCCTGGCCAACATGGTGAAACCCTGTCTCTACTAAAAACACAAAAGTTAGCTGGGCGTGGTGGTGCGCGCCTGTAGTCCCAGCTACTCAGGAGGCTGAGGCAGGAGAATCGCTTCAACCCGGGAGGTGGAGGTTGCAGTGAGCCGAGATCACGCCACTGCACTCCAGCCTGACGACAAGACTCCATCTCAAAAAAAAAAAAAAAGAATTAGATGAGAAGATCTGGGTTTGAGCCATATCTGGCCACCTTCCAACTGACTGACCTATGCAAGTTATTTAACCACACTGAGTCTCAGTCACTCATATGTTCACTCACTCAAGCTATATTTATTGAGCATGTAGCATGTGTCTTGCATGGGGCTAAGAGAATCCTGGGAAGATAATGGTGAGCAAAACCGGGCACAGTCCTTTTTCTTTTCTTTCCTTTTCTTTTTTTTTTTTTTTTTTTTTTTGAGACGGAGTCTCGCTCTGTCGCCCAGGCTGGAGTGCAGTGGCGGGATCTCGGCTCACTGCAAGCTCCGCCTCCCGGGTTCACGCCATTCTCCTGCCTCAGCCTCCCAAGTAGCTGGGACTACAGGCGCCCGCCACTACGCCCGGCTAATTTTTTGTATTTTTAGTAGAGACGGGGTTTCACCGTTTTAGCCGGGATGGTCTCGATCTCCTGACCTCGTGATCCGCCCGCCTCGGCCTCCCAAAGTGCTGGGATTACAGGCGTGAGCCACCGCGCCCGGCCTCCTTTTCTTTTTTAAGTAGAGACGGGGTCTCACTCTAATGCCCAGGCTGGTCTCGAACTCCAGGGCTCAAGAGATGCTCCCACCTTGGCCTCCCAAAGTACTGGGATTACAGGCATAAGCAACCTTGCCAGGCCCATGGTCCTTTTCTTACGAAGCTGAAAATTTATTCCTCCATAACAAGGCATACTAATGCTGAGACCACTGGATATGCACATGCAAAAGAATGAAGTTGGACCCTTACCTCATACCATAGACAAAAATTTATTCAAAATAGATCAAAGACCTACATGGAAGAGATAAAAACTATTAAATTCTTAGAAGAAAAGACAGATGTAAATCTTTGTGACCACAGACTAGGCAGTGGTTTCTTAGCTATGACACAGTGCACAAGCAGGAAAAAAAAATAGATAAATTGGACTTCAAAATTTAAAACTTTTGTGCTTCAAAGGACATTAAGAAAATAGGCTGGGCATGGTGGCCCATGCCTGTAGCCCAAGCACTTTGGGAGGCCAAGCCAGGAGGATTGCTTGAGCCCAAGAGTTCGAGATCAGCCTAGGCAACAAAGCGAGACCCTGTCGCTATTAAAAAAAAAAAAAAAGAAAAGAAAGAAAGAAAGAAAGAAAGAAGTAAAAAAGACCCATAGAATGGGATAAAATATTTGTAAATTATGTATCAGTTAAGAGACTTATATTTAGAATTTATAACAAACTCTTACAACTCAATAATAAAAAGACAACTCAATTAAAAAATACGCAAAGGATCTGAATAAACATTTCTCCAAAGGTATACAAATGACCAATAAGCACATGAGAAGACGTTCAGGCCAGGCGCGGTGACTCAGCACTTTGGGAGGCCGAGGTGGGCGGATCACTTGAGGTCAGGAGTTTGAGACCAGCCTGGCCAACATGCTGAAACCCTATCTCTAGTAAAAATATAAAAAAATAGCCAGGAGTGGTGGTGCACACCTGTAGTCCCAGCTACTCAGGAAACTGAGGCAGGAGAATCGCTTGAACCCAGGAGGCAGAAGTTGCAGTGAGCTGAGATCGTGCCACTGCATTCCAGCCTGGGCGACAGAGTGAGACTCCATCTCAAAAAAAAAAAAAAAAAAAGATATTCAACATCATTAACCACCAAGAAAATGCAAATCTAAACCACCATGAAATACCACTTCATACCCACTAAGATGGCTAGAATCAAAAAGACAGACTGGAGAAACTGGAACCTTCATACACTGCTGGTGAGAATGTCAAATGGCTCAGCAACATTGGAAAGCAGTTCTCAAAAGTGGAACATAAAGTTAATGACCTCGAAATTCCACTCCTAAGTGTATACCAAAGAGAAAATGGATGTCCACACAAAATCTTATACATGAATGTTCACACTAGCATTATTCATAATAGCTAAAATTTGGAAACAGTATAAATGTCCATCAACTGATGAATGTATAAATAAAATATGGTATATCCATACAATGAAATAGTATTCAACAATAAAAAGAAAGTACTGATTCATGCTACAACACTGAAAACACTATGCTAAGTGAAAGAAGCCAGACATAAAATGCCACATATCGTATGATTGTTTATATGAAATGTCCAGTGTAGGCAAATCTATAGAGACAAAAAGTAGATTAGTGGTTGCTTAAGGCTGGGAAGGGGAGAGATTGGGGGTAAAACCGGAAATGACTGCTAATGAGCATGGGACGTCTTTGAGTGTGATGAAAATGTTCCAAAATTGTGGTGATGGTTGCACAACTCTGTGAATATACTAAAAACCATTTCTGCCGGGCGCGGCGGCTCACGCCTGTAATCCCAGCACTTTGGGAGGCCGAGGTGGGTGGATCACGTGGTCAGGAGTTCAAGACCAGCCTGGCCAAGATGGTGAAACCCCATCTCTACTAAAAATACAAAAATTAGCCGGGCACGGTGGCAGGAGCCTATAATCCTAGCTACTCTGGTCTGAGCAGGAGTGTCGCTTGAACCAGGGCGGCAGAGGTAGCAGTGAGCCAAGACTGAGCCACTGCACTCCAACCTGGGCAATAGAGTGAGACTCTGTCTCAAAAAAAAAAAAAAAAAAAAAAAACACATTTCATTGTACATTTTTAAAGGGTGGATTTTTTTTTTTTTTTTGAGATGGCGTCTCACTTTGTACCCCCCAGGCTGGAGTGCAGGGGCATGATCTCGGCTCACCACACTGCAACCTCCACCTCTTACAAGGTGAATTATATAGTATGTCAATTGTATCTCAATATAAATGTTATTAAATTGTATACCCACATTCACAGCAGCATCATTCACAATAGCCAAAAAGTGGAAGCCATCCAAGTGTCCATCAATAGATGAATGAATAAGCAAAATGTGGCCAGGCCTGGTAGCTCACACCTGTAATCCAAGCACTTTGGGAGGCTGAGGTGGGAGGATTGCTTGAACCTAGGAGTTCGAGACCAGCCTGGGCAACTTGATGAGACCTCATCTCTACCAAAAACACAAAAATTAGCCAGGCATGGTGGTGCATACCTGTAGTCCCAGCTACTCAGGGGGCTAAGGTGGTGAGAGGTTGACTTGAGCCAGGGAGACTGAGGTTGCAGTGGGCTGAGATCGCACCACTGCATTCCAGCCTGGGCAACAGAAGGAGACTCTGTCTCCACCCAAAAAAAAAAAAATTGTATAATACATATATACATATAATGGAATATTTTTTTAAAAAGAAAATTCTGATATGCACTACAATGTGGATAAACCTTGAAGACATCCTGCTAAGTGAAATAAAAGCCAATCATGATCGGGCGTGGTGCCTCATGCCTGTAATCCTAGCACTTTGGGAGGCTGAGGCGGGTGGATCACCTGAGGTCAGGAGTTTGAGACCAGCCTGACCAACATGGAGAAACCCTGTCTCTACCAAAAATACAAAAAATTAGCCCAGTGTGTTGGTGCATGCCTATAATCCCAGCTACTCGGGAGGCTGAGGCAGGAGAATAGCTTGAACCTGGGAGGCAAAAGTTGCGGTGAGCCAAGATTGTGCCATTGCACTCCAGCCTGGGCAACAAGAACAAAAGTCTGTCTCAAAAAAAAAAAAAAGCCAATCACAAGAGGAAAAATATTTTATGATTCCACCTTTTTTTTTTTTTTTAGACAGAGTTTTGCTCTGTCACCCAGGCTGGAGCGATCTCGGCTCACCACAACCTCGCCTCCTGGGTTCAAGCGATTCTTCTGCCTCAGCTTCTCAAGTAGCTGGGATTACAGGCGCCCACCACCACGCCCAGCTAATTTTTGTATTTTAAGTAGAGACGGGGTTTCGCAATGTTGGCCAGGCTGGTCTTGAATTCCTGACCTCAGGTGATCCGCCCACTTCGGCCTCCCAAAGTGCTGGGATTACACTCGTGAGCCACCATGCCCGGCCGATTCCACTTTTTTTAAGACAGAATCTTGCTGGAGTGCAGTAGCATGAGCTCAGCTCACTGCAACCTCTGCCTCCCGAGTTCAGGCAATTCTTGTGCCTCAGTCTCCCAAGTAGCTGGGATTACAGGCACACGGCAGCATGCCCAGCTAATTTTTGTATTTTTAGTAGAGATGGGGTTTTGCCATATTGGACAGGCTGGTCTCGAACTCCTGACCTCAAGTGATCCATCAGACTTGGTCTCCCAAAGTGCTGGGATTACACGTGTGAGCCATCGCGCCCAGCCTATTATTCCACTTATAAAAGGCACCTACATCCTGGCCAACATGGTGAAACCCCGTCTCTACTAAAAATACAAAAATTAGCTGGGCGTGGTGGCGTGTTCCTGTAATCCCAGCTACTCGGGAAGCTGGGGCAGGAGAATCACTAGAACCCAGGAGGCAGAGGTTGCAGTGAGCCAGGATCGTGCCACAGCACTCTGGCTTGGTGACAGAGAAAGACTCCGTCTCAAAAAAACAAATAAATAAAAAATAAAATAAAAGGCATCTAAAGTGGTTACATTCTACAGAAAGTAGAATGGTGGTTGCCAGGGCTAAGGAAAGTGGGGAATGTGAAGGTATTGTTTGCTGGGTGGAGTTTCAGTGGGGGAAGATGAAAAAGTTCTGAATGTGGCTGATGGTGATGGTTGCACAATAATGTGGATGTACCTAATGCCACTGAACTGTATGTTTACAAACAGTTAAAATGCTAAATTCTATGTCTATTTTACTACAATTTTCAAAATAAAGGCATAATGATAGCTCTTACCTCACAGGGTGATTGTAAGAATGAATAAGATGAATATTGGCTGAAGGAATGGCTAAAATGAGTAACAACTTTTATGAGCCTGGCCTGGAGAGCAGGGTTGGGAATGAGACAGGGAGTGGTGGAGGGACAATTTAACTGTCTACCTTAACACATGTACCATTGTTTAGGTTTTCCCCCAACTGTTATATAACTCAACAAAGTATAACATGGCAGAGGGCTGCTTACATTCTCAAGTTATTGATTTGTTCAAGTCTCAGTGTCCACAGAAAAGTGCATGAGTTTTGGGATCAACATTCTATCCTTGGCCAGTATTTGACCTTCTGTGTTTGTATCTTTATGTGTATCTTTCCCCAGATTTCTTTAGCTTTGCTTACCTTACTCCTCATCTACCCCCAATTGACTTGAGTCTTAGTCACAAAGATCTTCAATTTCCCTGTCTGATCACTAGATCCTCCCCTCTCATCTGAGAAAGGCCCCAGACTCAGATAGAAGGGCTCCCTGTCTCTCTGACCCAGTATGCCTCTTCCCCATTTTTACCTGACTTTATACAGTGAAATCTTCCCTGAGAGCTGACTTTTCAGTTCCTCACTTTGCGAATTGCAAGACCCACTCACCCAGGAGGCCGAAGATGGCTCAGAGCCCAGACAGCCGGAAGTCTGTTTCCTGGGCCGGGGAATGCTGGCAGAAATCCAGATAGCTGACGTCACCTGGTCCAGATGGCGGAAGCCATTGCCCAACCATAGGAAATCGATGCCAACAACACATTTCTCTATGACTGTCTCCCTCAATCCAGAAAAGCATTTTCCTAGAGAGGAGGCAGCTCAATAGTAGTGGAAAGTGGCCTAGCCTTCGAACCATGTGATGTGTTGAGTATGAGGCTGGCTGCAGCGTCAGCTGACAGATAACGTGAGAGCGGAGCACTGTACTCCAAGTCAGAAAACGTAAGTCTGAGCAGGAGAGCGGCCACCTAACTTCTGACCTTTGACAAATCACTGGATTTCCTTCAACTGGCTTTTTTAAAGCTATGAATAATAATACCTCACAGAAGCTATTATTGCAAGGCTGGAATGAGGTCATCTGTATAGAAGATTTCATAAGCTTGAAGCAGGATGCCAATGCAAAATTCTGCCTCTGTGAGAGGCTTCCTGGGAGAAGCAGATCCTGAGGGGCAGAATGGAGAGTGACTACAGGCTGATCCCAGAGCCAGGCAGCTGGCACTGTGTGAAAGTGGGCTTGCCGCTGCCTAGCTCTGCAATTGGGATGCATAACAGCCTCTCTGTGCCCAGTTACTCAGTCAAAATGAGGATAAGAATGCCCATGTCTGGTCGGGTGTGGTGGCTCACGCCTGTAATCCCAGGACTTTGGGAGGCTGAGGTAGGTGGATCACCAGGTCAAGAGATTGAGACCATCCTGGCCAACGTGGTGAAAACCCGTCTCTACTAAAAACACAAAAATTAATTGGGCGTGGTGGCACGCACCTGTAGTCCCAGCTACTCAGGAGGCTGAGGCAGAAGAATCGCTTGAACCCGTAAGGCGGAGGTTGCAGTGAGCCAAGATCACACCTCTGCACTCCAGCCTGGTGACAGAGCAAGACTCCATCTCAAAAAAAAAAGAATGCCCATGTCACAGGATGGTCTTGGGGGATAGGGGGACAGTAAGTGAGTTACTCCACATAGAGCACATAGCACAATGCCCAGCATGTGACAGCACTCACTGTTGAGTAATAATTAAAAAACAAATCAGGCTGGTGGGACCAGGGGAAAGCAAAGAAATGAGGCAAATGGCCCAAGACATATGGCCCTCCTGCTCAGATAATGTACATAACTCAAAAACTTCTGCTTACCATCAAACACCTCAATTTATCAAACACCCTGGCTGACAAAAAAAAAAAAAAAAATGCAAGTTACCTCCCTGCTACCCTGGCATAATCAGTACTGCACATAACACTCTACAGCCTAAGAGCCATCCTACAAAATCCCCAACAAGCCTTTGTTTCCTTGCAGTCAGCTCCTCTTCTGCTGGCCTGCCCGTTGCTCTCCTGCCCATTGCTCTCCTGTTTTTCTACTTTCTCTAATAAATTTGCCTTTCTCTACCTACAACTGTCTTGGTAAATTCTCTTACCCCTGAGCCGCCAGCCCAGATAGCCGTTGCTCCCCTGAAACATTTTGGTGGCCCATACAGGGAACTCTCCCTCTCCATACAGGGACTCTCTCTCCTTTCCCTTTCCCAACTCGGGACCCTCGAAGGACAGCATCTAAGCACAAAGACAATTGCAGGTCTCTGGCCAGAGCTACACTCCAGTGAGACTGAAAGGTGTCTGTCCATGTGGAAGCATCTGATCATCATTGCCTGGTTTGGGTGAGTGACCTGACTTTTTTTCTTTTTTCAGTCTTTCAGCAACCAGCTTCTAGTATCTCTCTGGCAATCAAAGGTAACTGGCCAGGGCCACTCTCCAGTGTTGCCTGAAGGCCCAGAGTGAACAGGGCTAGCTGCCCTGCCTGGAAGGGAGAAAGGCTGTTGCCCATCTTCTCTAATTGCAAGTCCCTCATCCCTATATGTGACACAATTGACAGCAGAAGCTTGTTCGGGGCAAACTCACACACGTTTTAGGTAACTCAGACGCTCTCTTTCTCACTCTAAATTCACCTATGGAGTCAGCCAGCCATCCTGTTCTGGGCCTTGCTAAATCAGGTGATGTCAGACAGCCTCAGAATGGTGAGTCTTCTCTTACCCACCCCACCTCCTGGGCCAAGACCAGGTAGAGATCTTCCTTTACCCTTCTTTTTCCTCGTGCCTGGGCTGATCACCCAGCATAAGTGAGTGCCTGGACTGGCCATCCAGCATGAGGCCCCTGAGCGGCCAGGAGGTCTTTTCTAATTGGTGGGATGCCCCCTTTGGAAAGTGCATCCAAGTCCCTCTGTGGATGTAAGTGGAACCCTCTGTTCATCTCAGTGAGATGCCCCCCGCAGAAAAGTGCAGTTCATGTCCCTGATTGACATTGCCCCAGAGCGGCATGTTTTCCAGTCCCACCATGGAGCAAACCCCGTCCGTTCCTGCAAACTTGCCTCTAGGCTGTAAAGAATTGTGACAAATTCTACCGCCAAACTCTCAAAAAGAAACATCTAATTTTCTTGTATAACACAGCATGACCCCTATGCAGAAAATTACCAAATTAGCCTCCTCAGTCTTTATAACCAAGAACAAAATAAGGAGGACAAGACTAAGAAAAAAACAAACACGGAGCCAAAAGGCAGGCTCAACTGTTGGCTGCTTTACAAGCCCCAGCTCCTACTCAGATAACAGAACTCACAAACTTCCTGCTTACCATCAAACACTTCAACTTTCCAGACATCCCAGCTGACAAAAAAATGCAAGTTACCTCGCTGCAACCCTGGCGTTTTCCTAATTACTGTAATAAATCTGCCTTTCTCTACCTACAACTGCCTTGGTAAATTTTTTTTTTCTTTTTTTGAGATGGAGTCTCACTCTGTCACCCAGGCTGGAGTGCCGTGGCGCAATCTCGGCTCACTGCAAGCTCCGCCTCCCAGGTTCAAGCAATTCTCCTGCCTCAGCCTCTCGAGTAGCTGAGATTAGATTACAAGCACCCACCACCGCGCCCGGCTAACTTTTGTATTTTTAGTAGAGACAGAGTTTTACCATGTTGGCCAGGCTGGTCTCAAACTCCTGACCTTAGGTGATCCACCCGCCTCGGCCTCCCAAAGTGCTGGGATTATGGGCGTGAGCCACTACGCCCGGCTGGTAAATTCTTTTACCCCAACGCCACCACCGCAGATAGCCATCACTCCCCTGAGACACTGATGAAGCAGCGGCTAGGATGATTCTTCCAGAGGCCATCCTGTCCACTTGCAGGCCCTGGGCTGGTTGGGTATTCAGCCCAATCCCCAGAGACCTCATGCAAAGAAATGCTGCCCCAACACACTGTCCACATGGCAGGCAGAGCAATTTAGCTAAAAATCTGACCATGTCACTTCCCCACATAACAGCCCAAATATCCCCGAGCCCATCCACTTAAAGACCAACATCTTAACATTTGAGTCTCTGTGATAGGACCCTGAATCCCTCTCCAGCCTCATCTCCTGCTGCCCACAGCCTCTCATCAAGGGTCCAGCAACCCCAGACTACCTGCAGCTACCTGGCTCCTATTGCCCCTCTGCCCATCGTGGTCCCTCTTTCTCCTCAGAAACCTTGCCATTGCTAACTCCTAGTTATCCTTCAAGACACTCAGGCTCAAATTTTCCAGAAAGCCCCTTTGCAGGGCCTGCTTCCCCTTCTCTTCCCTTAATTCCTCCTGGCACTTCCATCATTGCACAAGCCAGATTGAATCCCAACTGTTCTTGTGTCTGTTTCACACCAGTCTAGGGGCTCCTTGAAGGCAGAGGCCAGCACTAGGTCTTGGTTGCCCCTGTAAAGCCAGCCCAAGCACAATGTCAGGCACAGAGTAGGCGCCCAGTAAACCGAGTGGAAAGACTGATAAATGCACACCCAGAAGCTCTATTTGCCAAAGTTTGTTTGTTCATTTGTCTTAAGGGAAAATGTTGTTTGCCTGGGGTTGGGGCCAACAATTCCAAGAAATACAGTTTCCCTTTGCCTCAGTGGTTTTTCCTTTTGTTTTCTTTTGTTTTTCTGAGAATCACCTCTGTCTATGCCTCAGACATCCCTTATACCTGTTTTTTTGTTTTGTTTTGTTTTGGTTTTTTTTATTTTTATTTATTTATTTATTTTTTATTTTTTGAGACAGAATCTCACTCTGTGGCCCAGGCTGGAGTGCAGTGGCGCACTCTCACCTCACTGCAACCTCTGCTTCCCAGTTCCAAGCGATCCTCATGCCTCAGCCACCCAAGTAGCTAGGACTACAGGCCTGCACCACTAAGGCCAACTAATTTTTGTATTTTTAGTAGAGACGGGGTTTCAGCATGTTGGCCAGGCTGGTCTTGCACTCCTGACCTCAGGTGATCCATCTGACTGGGCCTCCCAAATTGCTGGGATTATAGGCGTGAGCCACCCTGCCTGGCCCTCTGTACCTCTTTCTTCCCTGTTTTTATACTTTGTCTCGCCTTCTTTATCACTTTGTTTCTTTTCCTTTCCTCTGTATTACATTTCTGTACCTTTGTTGCTTTATATCCTTTCTTCTTCCTTTTTCTTTTGTGGTTGAGTGGCTCTCTGTTCTATTGCCCTTTAGCCAGGGTTAGAAGCTGGTAAGAACATTCCTGGGGGCCAGGTGCGGTGGCTCATGCCTGTAATCCAGCACTCTGGCAGGCCAAGGCAGGGGGATCACTTGAGCCCAGTAGTTCAAGACCAGCCTGGGTAACATAGTGGGACCCTGTCTCTGCAAAAAATAAAAAAATCAGCTGGGTATGGCAGGGTATGTCTGCAATCCCAGCTACTCGGAAGGCTGAGGTGGGAGAGGATTACTTAAGATCAGGAGGGGAAGCCTGCAGTGAGCTATGATCACGCCACTGCACGCCAGCCTGGGTAACAGAGCAAGATTCTGTCTCAAAAAAAAAAGTATCCCTGGGTTCATGACTCTTAGAAAGAAAAAAGGAGAGTCTGAAAGGAAGAAAATCAGCTTTATTATGTACCAAGAAGTTCCAAACATTTTACTTCACATAATCTTAGTAATAAATGTGTAATGTGGTATATCAACCAAGCAGGCTAGGTTATGCTTCAGTAACAAACAACCCCCAAATCTCAATGGCTTTTATGCAGCAAAGCTTCATTGACTCTCCTGCCACATATCCATGGTGGGTTGGCCGAGGCTCTGCTCTGAGCTGTCATTGTCCTAACTCCAGGACCCAGGTTGACAGAGCAGCCACTATGTGGAATATCACCAATTACTATAGTTGAAGGAGAAAAAAAAATGTGGAAAAGCATACACTAGCTTTTAAAACTTCCACCTAGAAGGCACCATTTTAATTGGCCTCAGTAAGTCACGTAGCCACGCCTGGATTAGTGGGTAGGAGTTAAATGGAGTGGCAAAGTTCAATTTTCTTACACCCTTTGAAGGAAAGAGGGCCTCAAGTATTTAAAAATAGGTCTGATAATCACAGTGGATGTTACTGTTCCCACTTTACTGATGAAATAGCTGAGGCTCAAGAAGTTTACATAGTTTGTTCAAGAACATGCAGCAAATATCAGAGAGAGGAAGTGAACCCATGCCTTTTGATTCCTAGGACTGTGACCTTCCCCTCCACTGGGTTTTTAAGATGCTAGGCCTGGCCAGGCACAGTGGCTCATGCCTGTAATACCAGCACTTTAGGAGGCTGAGGTGGGCGGATCACTTGAGGCCAGGAGTTCGAGACCAGCCTGGCCAACATGGCTAAACCCTATCTCTACTAAAACTACAAAAAATTAGCTGGCGAGGTGGTGTGTGCCTGTAATCCCAGCTACTTGGGAGACTGAGGCCGGAGAATCACTTGAACCCAGGAGGCAGAGGTTGCAGTGAGCTGAGATGGTGCCACTGCACTCCAGCCTCGGCAACAGACCAAGACTCTGTCTCAAAAAAAAAAAAAAAAAAAGGCCGAGCACGGTGTCTCACGCCTGTAATCCCAGCACTTTGGGAGGCCAAGGCGGGAGGATCACGAGATCAGGAGATCGAGACCATCCTGGCTAACACAGTGAAACCCCGTCTCTACGAAAAAATACAAAAAAAATTAGCCGGGCGCGGTGGCAGACGCCTGTAGTCCCAGCTACTAGGGAGGCTGAGGCAGGAGAATGGCGGGAACACGGGAGGCGGAGCTTGCAGTGAACCGAGATCGCGCCACTGCACTCCAGCCTGGGCGACAGAGCCAGACTCTGCCTGAAAAAAAAAAAAAAAATTAGGCCTTTTCTACCAACTTTTTGGACACTGCTGTGAGGCTTGGCTTGCTGGAACCCAGGAAGAAAAAGGATAAGAAGCTCATCTTTGCTCACTGGCCCCAGAGCATGACTTCTGGTGAGGGGCATCAGAATCTCTCTCCAAAACATTGAGAGACTTCTAATTCCCAAGACAAAACCAGGTGGGTTATAAAACTTGCACCACAATTGTTAGAAACCTTCCAGACAAAACCAATTTATGGTAACAGAAGTCAGAATAGGCCAGGCGCAGTGGCTCACGCCTGTAATCTCAACACTTTGGGAGGCCAAGGAGAGCAGATCACTTAGGTCAGGAGTTCCTGTCCTCAGGTGATCCACCCACCTTGGCCTCCCAAAGTGCTGGGATTACAGGCGTGAGCCACCACACCCCACCAGCAGCCTGACTCATAATGGTCCCCACCGACCTGGGCAAGCAGCTGGCAAGTGCTGACCATGTGGCCAGAGGAACAGACTCTTCCGTTTCATCAGTACTGCATCAGTCTGGGCATCTTGTATGACCTGAGGGAGGGAGCCTGAAAACTGTCTGACACTGGAGTTCCAGTCAGTGGTGGGCAGGGCTGGACCCAGAGTCTATTTGAGTGAGTCCACAAAGAAACAAGACATTACTTGTAGCCCAGGAGCTGTGGGACAATCATATCTGTTGCATATATGTGGACATACATGCCTACCTTCACATAAATGTTTCTAGATAGATAGAGAAGGATCTAGTAACAGTTATGAGTCTGGGAAGTGGGACCGGATCTCCCTTTTTTTTTAACTGTTTTTTTTTTAATTGAACAGATTTTCTTGTATAATAAAAATGTATTTCAAAATTAGAATGACAGCAATAATAAACTCAGATTGCTAAATTCTTCAAACGATAGGAAAGCTGGTAACCCTGCCTCATGGGAGGGGTAAGCTTGTGACCCACACCTCGACAGTGATGTCTCCCAGCTATGGCGTGTCCTCTGGGCAGCTGGAAAGGAGGCTAAACATAGAAAAGCCTGTGGAGTGTGCCAAGACGGATCAGGCCTGGTGCTAGAACATTCCTTCACTCTGTCAATGAGCAACCACCTCGTACCTGTGTCTCAGGGACCGGGGACGTAGGAGTGAGCAAAGCACACTGGCTTCCTAGACCCCGAGACTTAGATGCTAAAGGAGGGGATGTGTGGGTCACTCTGGCCCAGCAGGAGGACAAGGAAGGAGAGTGAGAACCACAGAGGGCCCAGGAAGATCCCCAGGCCTGGTACAGGGCAAGGCGGGGAAGGTGGTATGCCTTTTCCAGGGTAGCCAGTTCCTTAGCGCCTCCTTTCAGGAACTCCTCTGCGCTATTGAGGGGCTAGAAGGTCTCTTCTTAATTAAAAATAATTTTATTTTAAAAATTAACATAAAGTAAAATTGATTTTTTTCAGTGGACAGTCCTATGAGTTTCACATGTGTAAAGATTCATGTAATCACCACAATCGATCATGTAATCACCACCACTGAAACAGAATAGCTCCACTGCCTAAAACACTCCCTCGGGCTACCCCTTTGTAGTCCCATCCTCTTTCCTGCCCCCGACAAACTCCCTGCTATTTTGCTATTTTGATCTAGTCTCTGTTGCTATCGTTTTATCTTTTCAAAAGTGTCACATAAATGGAATCATACAGTCTGTAACTTTTGAGAACTTTTTTCACTCAGCGTAATGCCTTTGAGATTCATCCAAGTCATTGCATGTGTCAGTAATTTGTTTCCTTTTTTCATTTTAAAAATGTATGCAGTTTGATGTTTTTCTCCTTTTCCTTTTCTTTTCTTTTTTTAAGCAAGGTTTCACTGTGTTGCCCAGGCTGGAGTAGTGGCATGATAATGGTTCACTGCAGCTTCAACCTCCTGGGCTCAAGTGATCCTTCTGCCTCAGCCTGAGCAGCTAGGATTACAGGCGTGCACCACTATGCCCAGATAATTTTTGTATTTTTTGCAGAGACAGGGTTTCACCATGTTGCCCAGACTGGTCTTGAACATCTGGGCTCAAGCAATCCTCCTGCCTCAGTCTCCTAAAGTGCTGGGATTACAGGAATGAGCCGGTGTACCTGGCCCCAATTAGTTTTTTTAAATTAAATTAATTAACTAATTGGCTATCAGCAGGAAACAAACCCGATGAGCTTTTACATTTATATTTACCCATTTAACCACCATCTAGACAAGATAGCTTCAACCCAGGAGTCTCCCTTGTTTCCCTTGCAGTCAATATGTAGCACCCTCTTTCCTGCCCACCTCACTCCAAACTAACCACCATTCTGATTTTTTTTTTTTTTGAGACAGAGTCTTGCTCTTGTTGCCCAGGCTGGAGTGCAGTGGAATGACTTCAGCTCACTGCAACCTCCGCCTCCCAGGTTCAAGCGATTCTCTTGCCTCAGCCTCCCGAGTAGCTGAGATTACAGGCACCCACCACCACGCCCAGCTAATTTTTGTATTTTTAGTAGAGACGGGGTTTCACCATGTTGGCTAGGCTAGTCTCAAACTCCTGACCTCAAGTGATCTGCCCACCTCGGCCTCCCAGAGTGCTGGGATTACAGGTATGAGCTATTGTGCCCAGCCTGCACCCCTTCTCTTTTCCATGAGTCCATGGAAGTCTAAGAGTCAACCAAGAAGTAGGCTCCTGCCCTCACACCCTGTACTCTCATACCATCTGGCACCACAGGTATCTTTCCAGCTCTTCCAAAACGAGGCCTGCTTAGGGTGGGTTTCCTTTACAGCCCCACCCAGCCTGATTCTTTCTGTTCCTTCTAAAACATACACAAAAAGCCAAACACCTCAGGGGTCAGGAAATCCACAATTTCAAAGAAATGAAGTCCTGGTTGCCCAGAGGTGGGAGAGGAGAGGAACACTTTAGTTTCTTTTTAATTCTCAGTAGATTGTTGTTACATGACATTCATAATAAACTGTCCTGCTATGTAACATATTCTTTTAAATATGATTGTTCCTTCAAATGTGATACATGTTGGGAAAGTTGTAGGGAGATCAGTTAATAATCATTTATGGGAATGTTTCCTGAATGAAGGAGCCCAGGATGGGCACGGGATAGGAGATTTCAAGTAAGGAACAGATAGGACCCTTCTGAGAGATTTCAACCCAAATTAGACAACAAAATACATATACTCTCTGAGGACAGCTCAGGTCAATGGAAATGTATTGAGCATCTACCAGTAAAAGTTAATCTTGACTGCTTAGTAGGCACCAGGCACTGTGCTAGCCCTGGGGATACTGCAACCAACCAGACAGAGATCTTCCTGCCTTGTGGAGCTCAGAAGGACAGATATGAAACACACAGGACTGAGGTGGTGACTCTTACACAAGGTGGAGTTCAGGGTACCATAGGCATGTATAGCCAGAGGACCTAACACAGGATGCAGATCAGGGAAGGCCTCTCCTAGAAGCTAATGTTCAAACTGAGACTTGAAAATGATGAAAATATAAAAACATCAGAGCAGGGGGAGGGGGAACCTGAGCTACAAGAGATCCAGACAAGTCGGAGGAACCAAAAAAATTCCAAGATATAAAAGCGTACAGACAGAGAGGTGAGTTGGGTTTAGAAGAGGCTGGTAAGGTGGGCTCAACCAAAAAAGGCCCAGTGGACCCTACACTATGGAATGAATTGTGTCCCCCCAAATTCGTATGTTGAACCCCTAACTCTCAATGCGACTATATTTGGAGATAGGGTTTTTAGGTGATTCAGGTTAAATGAGGTCCTAAGGGTGAGGCCCTAATCTGATGGGACTGGTGTTCTTATAAAAGGAACAGGATGCACAAGAGAGCTCTCTCTCCCCACATGCACGAAGAGGCCATGTGAGTACAGAGCAAAATGGCGGCCACCTACAACGAAGTAAAGAGGACTCTGGGCCAGGTGCGGTGGCTCACACCTGTAATCCCAGCACTTTGGGAGGCTGAGGAGGGTGGATCACCTGAGATCAAGAGTTTGAGAACAGCCTGGCCAACATGGTGAAACCCCGTCTCTACTAAAAATCAAAAATTAGCCAGGCATGGTGGTGGGCGCCTGTAATCCCAGCTACTCAGGAAGCTGAGACAGGAGAATCACTTGAACCTGGGAGGCAGAGTTTGCAGTGAGCCGAGATCATGCCATTGCACTCTAGCCTGGGTGACAGAGCAAGACTCTCTCTGTCTCAAAAAAAAAAAAAAAAAAGAGAAAGAAAGAGGCCAGGCGTGGTGGCTTACGCCTGTAATCCCAGCACTTTGGGAGGCCGAGGCAGGCAGATCACAAGGTCAAGAGATCGAGACCATCCTGGCCAACATGGTGAAACCCCGTCTCTATTAAAAGTATCAAATTAGCTGGGTGTGGTGGCGGGCACCTGCAGTCACAGCTACTCGGGAGGCTGAGGCAGGAGAATCACTTGAACCCGAGATCACGCCATTGCACTCCAGCCTGGGCAACAGAGCAGGATGCTGTCTCAAAAAAAATAAAAAAATAAAATAAAATAAAATAAAAGAAAGAAAGAAAAGAGGACTCTGAAAGTCTGAATAAAGCTGACCTTGCCAGCACTTTGGTCTTGGACTTCTCAGCTTCCAGAACTGTGAGAAATAAACTTCTGTTGTTTAAGCCACCCCGTCTAGGATATTTTGTTATGGCAGCCTGAGCTGACTAATACACCATATAAGAATTTTGAGTATATTTCTAAAAGCCTGGTGGGAAGCCACTGGAGTTCTAAGCCAGGGACAGACATGCGTACATCTGTGAGGCTCATTTTGGCGGCAGAGTGGAGAAGGCATCTGAGCAGGGCAAGACTAGAAGCAGAGAGATGAGGTAGGAGGTGAGGGTAGGTGCTCAGGCTGGAGATGATGTTGGAGGCTTAGAGCCTGGTGATGTGGGGATGAGGAAAAGTGGAGAGATTGGAGAGACCTTCATGGGGAAAATCAAAGGACTTGGGGATTAACAGAATAAGAGGAGAGGGGAGGGGGAGTCCAAAGGCCCCCAGGTACAGTGGAAAGAGCCCTGGGCTGGGAATCTAAAGATCCAAGTTCTATTCCCAGATCTGTCACCCAATGGCTTTGGCTAAGTGGCTTCACTACCCTTCACCACTTTAGTTTCCTCATCTGTACAGGAAGAGATGGGCCTGCTGATCTCATGGTGCCGTCCAATTCCATTATCCTGTGATTCTGTGAAGTAAATGCATTAACAAGATAAAACAATAGTGTCATCTCCCCAGGATTGTTCACGGACCTCTCCTCCACACTTTACCTAACACTATTGATCACCGTTTACTTAGCTGTACATTAGAAAGCTTCCATTACTGATCTGTCTCCCTCAAAAGACTGAGACCTCCTCGAGGGTAAGAACTGGGTCATTTTGCTTGGTATCCTGTACCTGAAACCAAGCCAGGCACATAGTAATTGATTAATTATATTTGTTAAATTGATTATTGTAAGTGCTGGGAAGACAGGCACATGGTTATTCCGGGAAGGCATCTGGGTATGATGTATGTTTTCTGAGTACAGGGCACTGTGATGGGTGCTAGGGCCATCAGAGTAAACAAGAAAACCAGTCACAGACCTTACGTCAGGTAGCTAGGCAGACATTAAACACAAGAGGACAAAAATGATGATTTATTTCTAGTTGTGGTGAGTGCTACAAGGAAAAGTACTGGGTATTGTGAGTGTGTAATAAAGAGACTAGCTTGGGGGTAGAGGGAAGGTTTCTCTGAAAGAATGACCCTTAAAATAATAAGGATGAGTAGATTTGCTCACAGATTGAAGGAGGGGAGAGACAGAGAGCATGACTGCAGGTAAAAGAAGCAATAAGCACACATGAAGGCCTGAAGCTGGACGGAGTTCTGGCGAGGAGAATGCCAGATGGAAATCCACCGGAATGTAATGTTAGCTAATTTGGGTTATGGAATTATTGGTGCTTTTTATTCTCTTTTGTGTATATTTTGCATATTACAGATTTCCCACAACAAACATGTACTATTTTAATCATGGGGGTTGGGGGGGGCATTGCTAGTTTTAACAAAATAATAAAGGATGTGGGGAGCATGGGTGTCTGGAGGAGGGGTGCATTCCAGAGGGATTGATGACACGAGCGGTGACTAAGTCCTGCATGGGGGAGGGCAGGAGGTCCATCAGTGGGGCTGGAACAAAGCAGCAAGGATGACTCACAAAAGACACAGCCGAAGCCAGTGCATCAGGGCCCGTGGAGGTGAGGCTGGGGAGTCGGAGGTGATATGAGAAGTCGCAGGGAGCTACTGTCAGACCAACTAGGCAGGGACAGCCTACACCTGAGTAGAGGAGAGGATGAGGAACCAGAGAGAAAAAGCTCCCCTCAGCAGTCCCTGTGGGGCTGGTACAGGACCTTGGGAACCTGGTAAGGGCAGAGTCCTCCTTGTTACTTTCCAGGCACGAAAGGGTTAGATTGTCCCGTGCTTTCTGCCCCCACAGCGGAAGTGGAAGCTGTGGTTTCCAAAGGCCCTTCCTGATCTGCAATCTCTGAGAAATCAACTAAAGAGATAAAGTCAAAGGTTGGTTGGTGGTGTGCAGTGGGCGCGGGGGTGGATCACAGGCAGGAGTTGGAAAATTGAGGCCTGATGCAAGCTCTAAGATCCGCCCCCACCCACTCCTGATCATGAGTGATAAGCACCCCACCACCCACTCTGCCACTTGGCCGGGATTTCCCCGGAGCCTGTGAAGTATTCCCAGGGCTGGGATGTGACTTGGGAGGAGGTGGTAATTGGCTCCTTTCTCCGCTCTGAGCTGGGCCTCCAGGAACTGCCTCCACCACGTCCCCCTTCCCCTCCAGGGGAGTTACTCAGCACAGTCTGACTGCTCCACCTGAACCCTCCTTAGCATCACCCACTCACCTCACACTCCTGACCCAGGTGCTGCCTGCTCATAGCCAGGGCACAGAGATGAGGAGCAACTTCATCCCAGTCTTCTACCCAGCCCCAAAGCTGAATTCCGCAACAGGACCTGGTCCTGACCCTGCTCCCATGAAGAGATGCAAAATCACACTAAATCTTCATGTTAAATCATCATATGTATCAAATGCCAACCAGTCAGTAAGCAGCCGAGGGCACGCTGTCCACAGCCCTACAGCTAGGCCTGTGCTGCTACCAGGGTGCAGAGGCAGGGGCCTTGAAGAAACAGCCCCAGCCCCTAGGAATGCTATTTGCTGTTGGAGACAACAAGTTCTTAATAAAAGCCACATCAACCCAGAAGACCTGAGTCATCTGAGAGAGACCATTTGCGCCTCTAAGCCTCAGTTTCTTCAATTGTGAAATGGTAATGACAGCTAGTTTAGAATTAAATGATGCCGTGTATGAAAAATAGATGAGAGACTTAGAAGGATCCCGTCCTTCCACAGATACTTATTCCTGGGCCAATGCTCAGGATATAAAGATAAAGTAAACAAACGTAACAGGCCTGATCCCTGCCCTCAAGAGGTTCCTCAAGTTGCTGTTATTGTTGACCCAATGACAGCTAAATAAATGAAGGCCACTCATAAAAAGCAAATGGAGGCTCCAATAGAGTGTGGCCGATGGTATTTTCCAAAGTTGGGTGCCCCTTTCCACTTGCTCTCCTTGTCCCATGACTGACACTCCAGGTAGGGGCCATGTTCCCTCTCTTTGAATGGGAGCGGGGCTGTGACTACTCTGACCAATAGGGTAGGAGGGAGGTGATGCAGATCAAAAAAAGATGAGGTTATAAAAAGAATGCAGCTGGGCACAGTGGCTCACACCTGTAATCCCAATACTTTAGGAGGCTGAGATGGACAGATTGCTTGAGCCCAGGAGTTGGAGACCAGCCTGGGCAACATAGTGAGACCCTGTCTCTACAAAATAATGATAATAATAATACAAAAATCAGCCAGGCATGTTGGCAGTAGCCCCAGCTACCAGGGAGACTGAGGCAGGAGGATCACTTAAGCCTGGGTAGTCAAGGCTGCAGTGAACCATGACTGCACCACTGCACTCCAGCCTGGGCAACAAGAGTGAAACTTCACCTCAAAAAAAAAAAAAGCAGTTCATGCCTGGTTCCCTCACAGCAACCCAGCCACTATGCAAGAGAAACTCTAACTAGACCACAGGTAGAAACCCTGAGGTCCCTGAGCTAACTGCCAGCATCCACTGCAAAGTGTCTGCAGACGATTTCAGTCCCCCAGCTTTCGAGTCTTCCAGCTGCAGCCCCAGATAACATGGAGCAGAGACAAGCCATCCCCACTGCGGTGTGTCCAAATTCCTGGCCCACAGAATCCGTGAACGTAATAAAGGGTTGTCTCATGCCACAAAATTTTGAGGCAATTTGTTGGACAACAAAAAATAACCAGAACACAGAGGACAAGCCAGAATGAGCAGCACATAAGTCGAAGGAGAAAGTACCCTAGAGGTGTTAAGAGTTAGTCAGAATGGAAGGACATTAACTGTGGAAAGCATTACTAGACCTCACGTCACCATATGGTTTTGTACTCTGTCCTGCTGTGAAACTCTTCCTTCAAAGGCCACCAGCAACCCCCAAAGTGACAAATATACAAATTCCCTCTTGTTTAAACTATCATCTAGGCCTGCGCCATGGCTCACACCTATAATCCCAAAACTTTGGGAGGCTGAGGCAGCAGGATCATTTGAGCCCAGGAATTTGAGACCAGCCTGGGCAACACAGTGAGACCCCCAGTCTCTAAAAAAATGTTTAAAAAATTGGCTGGGAGTGGTGACATACACCTGTAGTATCAGCTACTCAAGAAGCTGAGGTGAGACGATCTCTTGAGCCTGGGAGGTCAAGGCTGCAGAGAGCTATGATCATGCCACTATACTCCAGCCAGGGTTACAGAGCAAGACCCTCTCTCCAAACAAACAAACAAACAAACAAAAAAACCCTCACAAACAAACAAACAAAAAACCCTATCATCTGTGCGCCGAAGTCCCCCACTCCAATAGCTACATACCTAGTCCTATCTTTTCACCTGAACTCCTGTCTTGTAGCTCCAATTTCCCGCAGTCACATGCCAGTTCCTTATTTCTTTGCCACCTCAAATCCAACACAACCAAAATGGATTCACTATCATGGACACTGTTTGGGCTCAGGTCCTTTTCACCAGTGAGTCCACTCACTTTCCAGCTTTTGGGAATATCAGCTGATAACCACACACAATTGTCCCCTTTTCTGGAGAATTGCCCTGGGCCAAACAGGAGCCAAGCCCTCCTCCCTTGCACACACTCTGGACAGACTCCCAGTGGCTGCCTGACCTTAAAGCAGATCTACAAAACGCCAGCCCCCATGCCTCCAAGTGCAATTGACTGGTGCAATTTGCTGCCCTGAGCTTCCCCATGAGCTCAGGCTGAAGCTCACATCCTTGCTTAGCCTTTTTCCCTTCCCTATCCTGTTTTCTTCAGTCTTTCTCCTGAGAGCCTCCCGCAGTGTATCTCTTGAACAAAAGTCCCCACCCCAGGTTCTGCTTCAAGGTAGCCCAATCTAAAACACCTGCTGCCGAGTGCAGTGGCTCACACCTGCAATCCCAGCACTTTGGGAGGCCAAGGTGGGCAGATTGCTTTGAGCTCATGAGTTCAAGACCAGCCTGGAGACAGGCTGGACACAGCAAAATCTTGCCTCTTCAAAAGATACAAAAAAAAAATTAGCCTAGCTTTGTGGCATGCGCCTGTAGTCCCAGCTACTTGGGAGGCTGAGACGGGAGGATCGATCGCTTGAGCCCAGGAGGCAGAGGTTGCAGAAAGCTGAGATTGCACCACTGCACTTCAGCCTGAGTGACAGAGGAAGACCCTGTCTCGAAATAAAATAATAATAATAATAGGCCGGGTGCCGTGGCTCATGCCTGTAATTCCAGCACTTTGGGAGGCCAAGGTGGGCGGATCACTTGAGGTCAGGAGTTGGAGATCAGCCTGGCCAACATGGTGAAACCCCGTCTCTAGTAAAAATAAAGAAATTAGCTGGCCATGGTGGCACATACCTGTTACCCCAGCTACTCGGGAGGCTGAGGCAGGAGAATCACTTGAATCTGGGAGGCAGAGGTTGCAGTGAGCTGAGATTGCACCATTGCACTCCAGTCTGGGCAACAAGAGCAAAACTCCATCTCAAAAAAATAATAATAATAAATAAAACACCAACCAAGCCAAGTTTACTTTGTTTACCCTGTTGCTATGAGACCTGTCTCTCATCACCCCAGCCTACAACTCCCTTTCAGACCAGCCATCAGTTTGAATACATTTTCTAGCAAATGCCTCTCATTCTTCCTCCTCATTCCCATTGTCCCCATGTAATCACTGTTCAGGAAGTCAGGGACCCCAAACGGAGGGACCAGCTGAAGCCATGGCAGAAGAATGTGGATTGTGAAGATTTCATGGACATTTATTAGTTCCCCAAATTAATACTTTTATAATTTCTTATGCCTGTCTTTACTGCAATCTCTAAACATAAATTGTGAAGATTTCATGGACACTTATCACTTCCCCAGTCAATACCCTTGTGATTTCCTATGACTGTCTTTACTTTAATCTCTTAATCCTGTCATCTCGTAAGCCAAGGAGGATGTATGTCGCCTCAGGACCCTGTGATAATTGCATTAACTGCACAAATTGTAGAGCATATGTGTTTGAACAATATGAAATCTGGGCACCTTGAAAAAAGAGCAGGATAACAGCAATGTTTAGGGAACAAGAGAGATAACCTTAAACTCTGACCGCCGGTGAGCTGGGCGGAACAGAGCCATATTTCTCTTCTTTCAAAAGCAAATGGGAGAAATATTGCTGAATTCTTTTTCTCAGCAAGGAACATCCCTGGGAAAGAGAATACACGCCTGGGGGTGGGTCTCTGAACTGGCCCCCCTGGGCGTGGCCATCTTCTATGGTCGAGGCTGTAGGGGTGAAATAGACCCCAGTGTCCCATAGCGCTCCCAGGCTTATTAGGAAGAGGAAATTCCTGCCTAATAAATTTTGGTCAGACCAGTTTCTCTCAAAACCCTGTCTCCTGATAAAATGTTATCAATGACAATTGTGCCAGAAACTTCATTAGCAATTTTAATCTCGCCCCGGTCCTGTGGTCCTGTGATCCCGCCCTGCCTCCATTTGCCTTTCGATATTCTATTACCTTGTGAAGTACTTGATGTCTGTGACCCACACCTATTCACACACTCCCTCCCCTTTTGAAAATCCCTAATAAAAACTTGCTGGTTTTGCGGCTTGCGGGGCATCACGGAACCTACCAACATGTGATGTCTCCCCCGGATGCCCAGCTTTAAAATTTCTCTCTTTTGTACTCTGTCCCTTTATTTCTCAAACTGGCCGATGCTTAGGAAAATAGAAAAGAACCTACGTGACTAATGGGGCAGGTTCCCCGATAATCACCTCACACCTGGCTTATGAAATAATTCTCCTTTCCAACCTCCCTGCTGCTTCCTGTTTTTCCTCCTGCCTCCAATCTGTCTAGCACTTAAGTGTGAGATTAACATTTCTGAAATGCCTCTGATCATGTAGCTCCCCTGCTGGAAAGTTCAGTGCCTCCGGTGTCTAGTGGCAGCAGATAAAGATTCTTTTGTCTGCTTTCCTGGTCCCTCACTGAGCTCTGGCTTCCACCTTGTTTATTTAACCTCATTTGTCAGTATTTTTAATTTTCTATTCCAGTCAGCTCCCCCAGAGTTCCACAAACTATGCTCATTCCCATCACACCAACACCAGTTCTCCCTCTCCCCTACATGTTCTCGAATCCCACCTGGCTTCTCAGCTGCCCCCCGGCCCCTGTCCTCCCCTTCTCAGCCCCCAGCAGGGCACATGGCTGCCTGCAGGAAGCAACAGGGCTCTAAGCCTCCCTGGCAGCCAGATGTGGCAGAGAGACTTCCTTCCAACCTATTTGAAATGAGCAGAAATGTTACGGGTTACTTCTGTCTGTGGACCTACTAGGATGGGGTGTGTATTTCTTTGTCCTTCTCTTTCCCCTTGGCCTGAACATGGAGCCTGAGCAGTCATCCTAAATCACAAAGAGCCATGCATCAAAGACAGTGAGGCAGCAAGGCGGAGCTGTCCCAGCCCCGAGCTGCCTGCCTGGCTCTGGACTTTGTTTCTGTCAGAGAGAAATGGACTTCCATCTAGGAAGCCATTGTTCTATTCGGTTTTTGTCACTCACAGGTCAACCTAATGCTAACTTGGTTCTTCTCACAATTTGTGAAGGAAAGAAAGGAGCAGATGTGGCAGTGGCCTGTAAATGTTTAACTCTCAGAGGCAGTGGAGGGCTGGGGGTAGGTGAAAGTTCTGACTTGCAACATTTCCGATTTCTGTGGTGTAAATACTTCCATCAAGGTGTTGGGGCTCAGAAAATGATACCCCAGAGTTTGGTGTTTTGGCAAGTTGAGAAGAACATGGGAAGGACCTGAGAAGTAAAGTCTGCCTCTGACCTTCTCCTGCTCCCCTCTCTCCTCCAAGGCAGGTCAAAGAAACCAGAATGTCTTTCCCCCAAAGCCAATCATAAAACTTAGAACTATTACTCTAGCCTTCCTTTGCCTTTCTGTATAAGCACAGCTCATTAAAAAAAAAAAAAAAAACTGAGCTACCTTTTCTAATAGTAGGTCATAAAACCCTTATTTTGGAGAGTCCCTGCCTATATCCAGAAGGAAGGAATGCTGCACAGAGAGACCAAGCAGAATCCCAACAGACAGGCTCTGCTGGCTTTCTCCCTCAGCCTATTCCCATGCGACCATTCACTTTGTGTTCAATCACATTTCTTTTCTTTTCTTTTTTTTTTTTTTGAGATGGAGTTTCGCTCTTGTTGCCCAGGCTGGAGTGCAATGGCACTATCTTGGCTCACTGCAACCTCCTCCTCCTGGGTTCAAGCGATTCTCCTGCCTCAGCCTCCCAAGTAGCTGGGATTACAGGCACGCACCACCATGCCCAGCTAATTTTGTATTTTTAGTAGAGATGGGGTTTCTCCATGTTGGTCAGGCTGGTCTTGAACTCCCGACCTCAGGTGATCCGCCCGCCTTGGCCTCCCTAAGTGCTAGGATTACAGGCATAAGCCACCGTGCCCAGCCTGTGTTCAGTCACATTTCTACATGACTGTCTGTTCTTTTTTTTTTTTTTTTCTGAGACAGAGTTTCATTCTGTGGCCTAGGCTGGAGTGCAGTGGCACGATCTCAACTCACTGCAACTTCTGTCTCCCAGGTTCAAGTGATTCTCCTGCCTCAGCCTCCTGAGTAGCTGGGATTACAGGCACACACCACCACGCCCGGCTAATTTTTGTATTTTTAGTACAGACGGGGTTTCATTATATTGGCCAGGCTGGTCTCAAACTCCTGGCCTCATGTGATCCTCCCACCTCAGCCTCCCAAAGTACTGGGATTACAGGTGTGAGCCACTGCACCCAGCCTTGGCTGTCCATTCTTCATCGAAACTAATCAAAAAAATTGTTTTCTCTGAGCATTTCTGGGGTCTTCATTTCTGAAGGCTCCCATGTCATGTAAAACTTTGATGAAATAAATTTGTTGGTCGGGCACAGGGGCTCACACCTGTAATCCCAGCACTTTGGGAAGATGAGACAAGCAGATGGTTTGAGCCCAGGAGTTCGAGGCCAGCCTGAGTAACATGGTGAAACCCCATCTCTACAAAAAATTACCTGTGTGTGGTGGTCTGCACCTGTAGTTCCAGCTACTCTGTAGGCTGAGTCAGGAGGATTGCTTGAGCCCAGGAGGTTAAGGCTATGGTGAGCCATGATCATGCCACTTCACTACAGCCTGGGCAAGAGTGAAACTCCGTTTCAAAAAAATAGATACATAAAATAAAATAAATTTGTTATGCTTTTGTTTTGTTCGCCTGTCTTTTGTTATGGGAGTATTGGTCATGACTCAGGATGGGTGCAGAAAGCAATCACATCTTTCTGTCTCTACAAAGGCCAACTTCAAGCTACCAATGTTATGCCAGTTGGCTCATAAAGTTCCTGAAACTATAATGATTCTTCTCATGAACTGGTGTGAGCTGGCTTCAGCACAACAGTGGGTGAATGGGAAGGGGTGAAATGGGACTGACATTTAATGAACCTTGCTACATGCCAAGTAAGGTAATAGGCATTTTGCATATATTTTCTTTAATCCTTATATTTAACACTGAGGGGTAAGTAGGGCCAAACTTTCCCAACCATTAATCCTTTCTGGGAAAAATTCCAATACAGGTAGATTTATTTTTCTATATATTTTTCACAACCTTGGAAGATATGTTAGTCACCCCTGTTGTGGATAATTAGAAAAAGTAGAAAATGGAGGTAAGAGAAAATGCGAATGTGGTGGATATTTTCTGAGGTTTGACCATCCTGCATGCATTCTCTTCTCCTGAGAACAGTCACTGGATTCCTTGGAGAATTACCTGTGTGCATTCCTAATGAGCTATGGTTAAGGTGTGCTTTTTCCCCTAGCCTTTACCTAGACTAGGCTGATCAGATTCTCTCTGCTAGGGCTTTGAATGATGAACAAAATGGAAAGGATGGAAAAAACCCTTTGTCACTTACTCATTTCAGCAGGTAGCCAGGACAACACCGTCGATTCCTGCTACCTCATCCGCTGGAGCTACCCTGGTTCTTTGTCTCCTGAGCCTGATTCTCTGGCCTTCCTTTGATTCTGTGAGCTATTCAATATCCTCCCAAGACTCATCTATTCTGTTCAAGTTAAGGACAATCATTTTTGTGGCTTGAAGCCAAAGAAATTCAAATGCCAAGGAAGAAAAGTAGAAGCTCTTTAGAAAAGTTAAAGGAAACCGGCCAGGCGCGGTTGCTCACACCTGTAATCCCAGCACTTTGGGAGGCCAAGGTGGGCGGATCACCCGAGGTCGGGAGTTCAAGACCAGCCTAACCAACATGGAGAAACCCCATCTCTAATAAAAATACAGAATTAGCCGGGCATGGTGGCACACACTGTAATCCCAGCTACTTGGGAGGCTGAGGCAGGAGAATCGCTTGAACCTGGGAGGCGGAGGTTGCGGTGAGCCGAAATCAAGCCATTGCACTCCAGCCTGGGCAACAAGAGCGAAACTCCCTCTCAAAAAAAAAAAGAGAAAAGAAAAGTTAAAGGAAGCCAAGGCGAAGTGCACAGGGCTTTAGAAGAACATTTTAAAATTGCTCCTGGCAGGGAAGTGGTTATGATTATGTAAGGAGAACCTAGGCAAGACTGGTCAGACTGCAGGGTTGGATTTTTATGTGTTCTACACGGCAGGAATTTGGGGCAGAGCCGATGTTATATAAGCCTGAGTTGTAAGTTATTTGACGTATGTCATTGTATGCTCATCACAGGATTATTAAATAAAGGTAACTCAAACCATTTTGTATTAAGAGTATCCAAATTATTCTACATTTGTAGAATCACTATAAAATATGTGGGAGTTTGTTTTTTTAAAATGCGTTATTTTGGTGGAGGAC
The DNA here is from genome assembly GCF_000001405.40 of Homo sapiens. Classification (NCBI taxonomy): domain Eukaryota; kingdom Metazoa; phylum Chordata; class Mammalia; order Primates; family Hominidae; genus Homo; species Homo sapiens. The sequence continues at coordinate 2,016,467 of NT_167245.2, read as the reverse complement.
TGGAGAGAAAACATGGATCACTAAGAACTCTTCATCAACATTTTATCTTTTAGAAAGTAAAATGAACTACTAGCAGTGGGCCCAGCGCAGTGGCTCCCGCCTGTAATCCCAGCACTTTGGGAAGCCGAGGAGGATTACTTGAGCCCAGGAGTTTGAGACCGGCCTGAACAACATAGCGAGGCCCTGTGTCTACAAATAGTCAAAAAATTAGCCAGATGTGGTGGCACACACCCATGGTCCCAACAAATCAGGAGGCTGAGGAGGGAGAACTGCTTGAGCTCTGGCAGTTGAGGCTGCACTGAGCCATGACTGCACCACTGCACTGAGCCATGATCACACGACTACACTGAGCCATGATCACACCACTGCACTGAGCCATGATCACACCACTGCACTGAGCCATGATCGCACCACTGCACTGAAACATGATCGCACAACTGCACTGAGACATAATTGCACCACTGCACTGAGCCATGATCGCACCACTGCACTGAGCCATGATCGCACCACTGCACTGAGCCATAATCGCACCACTGCACTGAGACATGATCGCACCACTGCACTGAGCCATGATAGTACCACTGCACCGAGCCATGATTACACCATGGCACTGCACTCCAGCCTGGGCCACAGAGTGAGACCATGTCTTAAAAAAAAAAAGCAAACAAAAACTACAAGCAATTGAGAGCCTGGGAAGTGTCTAGTAGGGAAACCAGGAATTGTATCTGTGTTTGTGTGACTACCCCACATTCCTGCTGGTTCTGCCTCAACAAAAGCTTTCCCCCATCACTCCATCCACAGTGATCTCACCCGGCTGCGAATGCCTAGAATGCTTGCTCTCTGTACCAACATTCCATTTGTTTGACATTCATCATGGGGATCTGCTGAGTCTTCATATGAGGAAAAGTACTTGTTAAGCTCTAAGATATCAAATAAATGTTAGTTAATTATGTTATTAGATAAGTAGGTAGATAGATAATAAATAGATGGACACACACATATAGCTACAGATACAGTTACAGTTTTGTATACTTATATTTATGTGCTGATCTCTTAATTTCCCTTAACTTGGTTATAAACCTCTTAAGACCCATATTTTATACACCTTTCTGCCTTCCACTGCTCTTAGTTGGAACACATTTGACAATCTACTGATGTTTTAAGTGTAGGAACTAGCCTCTACCAGCTGAAAAATCTGTGAACCATGGCCACTTATTTTCACCACTTTCCTGTGCCCTGGGAGGACTAGATGAGCTCATGGGTACAAAGTGCCATGAATCAGTTAGTTTCCTGTGGCCGAAGACAGAAGAACTCAGCAGTCTTAGTTCCCCCTTCAACTTCATGCCTTCCTTTCTGAAGAAGCATGGGTCATGTATGTGATCAGAAATGGGCTTCCATTTCTCAGTACAAGATTTCTGAAGAAGAAGTGGTTTCTGGACCTCTGAATGGGCAGTGTGCGATACAATCTAATGAGAGACAAGTGATCTTGACTCTTTTAAAAGTGTCAAAAGCAGATTAAAGCCGTCAGCCTATACCAAGCATTTTCCCAATGCAGCATTTTCTCTTCCCCCACCCTATCTGTCATCTAGCCTAGTGCTGTCCAACAAATCTTTCTGTAATGATGGAAATGTTCTATTTCCGTGTTTTCAAATATGGTAATCACTGGCCACATGGGATTATCGTGCTCTTGAAATGTGGCTAATGAAACTGAGAAACTGAATTTTAAATTTTGACTCATTAGAATTTACATTCAAATAGCCACATGCAGCTGGGCGCAGTGGCTCACGCCTGTAATCCTAGCACTTTGGGAGGCCAAGGTGGGCAGATGACCTGATGTCAGGAGTTCGAGACCAGCCCGGCCAACATGGTGAAACCCCGTCTCCATTAAAAATACAAAAATGCTGGGCGCGGTGGCTCACGCCTGTAATCCCAGCACTTTGGGAGGCCAAGGCGGGCGGATCACGAGGTCAGGAGATCGAGACCATCCTGGCTAACAAGGAGAAACCCCGTCTCTACTAAAAATACAAAAAATTAGCTGAGTGTGGTGGCGGGAGCCTGTAGTCCCAGCTACTCAGGAGGCTGAGGCAGGAGAATGGTGTGAACCCGGGAGGCAGAGCCTGCAGTGAGCTGAGATCACGCCACTACACTCCAGCCTGGGTGACAGAGTGAGACTTTGACTCAAAATAAATAAATAAATAAATAATAAAAATACAAAAATTAGCTGGGCATAGTGGCACAAGCCTGTAATCCCAGCAACCTAGGAGGCTGAGGCAGGAGAACTGCTTGAACCTGGGAGGCAGAGGTTGCAGTGAGCCAAGATCATGCCACTACATTCCAGCCTGGGCGACAGAGTGAGACTCCATCTCAAAAAATAAAATAAAATAAATAGCCACATGCTACTGTATTAGACAGCATAGACCTAAATTAAGAGAATCTGGGCTTCTTTATTTATTCATTTATTTATTCATCATTCAGTCAAAACCATTGAGTACCTAGTATATATCAATCAGGCACACTGCTGAATACTGACAGTGGGTTCAGTGATTAGTCTCTCACCTGAAAAAGCCCAAAATCTGTTTGAGGAAACAAATGATCTTTGGGGATGGCCTCAAGACCTTAAAGTGTCTTCTGGTTACACCACCTTCTCTTGAGAAAAGTATTTGGGAGTAAGTCCTTGGGCATAGGTCACCCTGCAGATAATCTTCCGGCCCTGACCTCATCTACTAAATTAGGATCCTTGCTTGAGCTAGGGGCAGTTCTCAAGGGCTGGCAAGAGGCCAGTGATGCAGCCAGAGGTGAGAATACCCAAAAAGGTTACTGTATCCTGGGGAGTGTGTACACAACCCATTCAGAGTCTCAATTTAAGACATAAGCAAGGACATGAACATCAGAGCAGTGTAAAACCCCAAAGACAAAAAGAGCTAGGTCAGTGGGTTGAATAATAACATTAATAATGAGGATTGTTGAGAGGCAGGAAGGTGTTGAGGTCAATAGCTTTGTCTCTGGAGACAAACTTCCTGGATGCCAAACTCAACTCTGTCATTCCCCTGCTTCACAGAGTTCTGTGCTGTCACTGCACCTGTATAATGAGTGTTGTCATGCCCTCCTCTCAGAGGTGTACCATGAAAATTAAGTGAATTAAAACATACAGTTGTCCAGGCATGGTGTTTCATACCTGTAATCCCACCATTTTGGGAGGCTGAGGCAGGAAGATCATTTGAAGCCAAGAGTTTGAGACCAGCCTGGGCAACAAAGTGAGACCCTATCTCTACCAAAAAAAAAAAAAAATTTTTTTTAATTAGTTGGGCATGGTGGCACACGCCTGTAGTCCTAGAAACTCAGGAAGCTGAAGTGGCAGGATTGCTTGAGCCCAGGAGTTTGGGGCTATAGTGAGCTATGATGGCGCCACTGCACTACAGCCTGAGCTGTAGTGGAAGATCTTGACTCTAAAAACAAACAAGCCAGGCATGGTGGCTCATGCCTGTAATCCCAGCACTTTGGGAGGCCGAGGCAGGCAGATCACGAGGTCAGGAGTTCAAGACCAGTCTGGCCAACATAGTGAAACCCCATCTGTACTAAAAAAACAAAAATTAGCCAGGTATGGTGGCACATGCCTGTAATCCCAGCTAATCAGGAGGCTGAGGCAGGAGAATTGCTTGAACCTGGGAGGCAAAGGTTGCAGTGAGCCAAGACCATGCCATTGCACTCCAGCCTGGGCAACATAGTGAGACTCCATCTCAAAATCAAAAACAAAAAACAAACAAACAAACATGGAGTTGAACCCAGGTAGATGGGCTCTAGCATCTATGCTCTGACAAATAGGTATGCCACTAGGCTTTGGAATGAAATAGACCTAGGTTCACATCTAACTCCCATTACTTCTTGGTTACACAACCTTAAGAAAGTGAATTGCCTCATTGAACCTCATTTTTCTCATCTGTAAAATGGGTGTATAGATAAAATAACAGTTGGGGTTATGAAGGCTTAATGAATTGATTTGAGTATAGCTCTTAAAACAGTGCCTATGCCGGGCGTGGTGGCTCACGCCTGTAATCCTAGCACTTTGGGAGGCCGAGGTGGGCAGATCACGAGATCAGGAGATCGAGACCATCTTGGCTAACACGGGGAAACCCCATCTCTACTAAAAATACGAAAAATTAGCCAGGAGTGGTGGTGAGCGCCTGTAGTCCCAGCTACTCGGGAGACTGAGGGAGAGAATGGCATGAACCCGGGAGTTGGAGCTTGCAGTGAGCCAAGATCGCGCCACTGCACTCCAGCCTGGGCTACAGACAGAGCAAGACTCCATCTCAAACAAACAAACAAACAAAAAAAAAACACACAGTGCCTCTGAGGCATCATACATGCTCAGGTGTGTGGGCTAGTGTCACTTCACACTACCCCACAAGACCTGGGCAGAGCCAGTCACTGCAGACAGAGATGCTGAGCCACAAGGAGTCTGGGCAGGGAGGCAGGGTGTGCTCCTGGGGCTGCCGCTGGGCACTGGAAGCCACTGTGGCTTCTGGAAGACATGCTGGTTCTTCAAGGGGCAGGTTACTGGCCACTGAGGTGGCTCTATTCCAGCCCATCTCTGTCCCTTGAGGTAATCTGAGTGGCAACCTGTTCTATAACAAAAAAAACACTTAGTTTTGGCATATTTTAAGCAAGAATTTACAAGAGGAACATTTTGATGCAGCTTCCTTAAAACAGTTCTGTCAGTATGAACCACTTTGGAAAATAGCATAGCAAATTCTTTTTTTTCTTTTTTTTTTTTTTGAGACGGAGTCTCGCCAGGCTGGAGTGCAGTGGTGCAATCTTGGCTCACTGTGCAATCTCCGACTCCCTGGTTCAAGCGATTCTCCTGGCTCAGCCTCCTGAGTAGCTGGGATTACAGGCACGCACCACCACGCTCAGCTAATTTTTGAATTTTTAGTAGAAACGGGGTTTCACCATGTTAGCCAGGCTGGTCTCGATCTTCTGACCTCATGAACTGCCCGCCTCAGCTTCCCAAAGTGCTGGGATTACAGGCATGAGCCACCGAGCCCAGCCCTTATTTTTTCTTTTTTTAGAATGGGGTCTCGCTCTGTCTCCCAGGCTGGAGTGCAGTGGTGTGAATGTGACTTACCACAGCCTCGACCCCTGGATTCAAGTGATCCTTCGACCTGAGCCTCCCAGAGTAGCTGGGACCACAGGCGCGCACCACAACACCTGGCTAATTTTTTAATTTTGTAGAGACGAGGTCTCTCCATGCTGCCCAGGCTGATCTCAAACTCCTGGGCTCAAGAAATCCTTCTGCCTTTAGGCTGGGCATGGTGGCACACACCTGTAATCCCAGCACTTTGGGAGACCAAGGTGGGCTGATCACTTGAGGTCAGGAGTTTGAGACCAGCCTGATCAACATGGTGAAACCTGTCTCTACTAAAAATACAAAAATTAGCTGGGCGTCGTGGTGCAAGTGCTGGGATCACAGGTGTGAGCCACTGGGCACAGCAGCGATTTCTTACTAAGCTAAACATGCACCTAGTTATACTACTCCTAGACATCTGCTCAAGAGAAATAAGAATACATGTCTTAAAAAAGAGTTGTCTATGAATGTTCATAGTAGCTTTATTCATCATTTCCAAAAATAAGAAAAAAACCACAATGTCCATCAATGGTGAATTAATAAGCCAACTGTCATATATTTATACAATGGAATGCTATGCAGAAGTCAAAAGGAAAGAACTACTGAATCATGCCATGACATGGATGAATCACAAAAATATTATACTGAGCAAAAGAATCTGGACACAAAAGAGTGTCTACTGTAGTTTCGTTCTTTCTTTCTTTCTTTTTTTTTTTGAGACGGAGTTTTGCTCTTGTTGCCCAGGCTGAAGTGAAATGGCGTGATCTCAGCTCACTGCAACCTCTGCCTCCTGGGGTCAAGTGATTCTCCTGCCTCAACCTCCCAAGTAGCTGGGATTATAGCCACCCGCCACCACACCTGGCTAATTTTTAGTAGAGACGGGGTTTCACCATGTTGGTCAGGCTGGTCTTGAACTCCTGACCTCAGATGATCCTCCCGCCTCGGCCTCCCAAAGTGCTGGGATTACAGGCATGAGCCACCTTGCCCAGCCTGTAGTTTCATCTATATGACATTCTAGAACAGGCAAAACTGTAAGGTTAGAAGTCTGATCAGTGGTTGCTATAGGGGATGGGGACAGGACTGACTACAAAGGGATGCAGGGAACTTTTGGGGGTGATGGAAAACTCTATATCATCATGGTGGAGGCCTTTACACAAACTATATGCATTTATCAAAACTCATCAAAAACTACTCCTAAGAAGGATGAATTTTACTGTATTTAAATTATACTTCAATCTACCTGACTTTTTAAAACAAAATGCAGTATCACCAAATACTACCAAATTTTATGTGAAAGGCTCAGGGTCAGAGATAGGATGAGTTCAACCCACAGGGATAGGTTGAGAATATCTGGTTTATACATTTCTTACTGATTTTTTTTTTTTTTGAGAAGTCTTGCTCTTGTCCCCCAGGCTGGAGTGCGATAGCGTGATCTCGGCTCACTGCAACCTCTGCCTCCCGGGTTCAAGCGATTCTCCTGCCTTAGCCTTCCAAGTAGCTGGGATTACAGGCGCCTGCCACCACGCCAGGCTAATTTTTGTATTTTTAGTAGAGACGGGGTTTCACCATGTTGGCCAGGCTGGTCTCGAACTCCTGACCTCAGGTGATTTGCCCACCTCGGCCTCCCAAAGTGCTGGGATTACAGGAATGAGACACCGTGCCTGGCCACTGATTTTTTTTTTTAATGGTGACAATTTAATAATAATTTTAGGCCTTGTCAAGAGGTTACCAGTATTAAGACGGCTGCATCTCAATGGCACGTGCCTCTCCTGGCAATCAAAAAGATAGACAAATGACTATAATATCGTGTGTGTGATGCTTTGAGAGATTTGTATACAATGTAGATGAACTAATTCTGGATGGCAGGTTCAGGAGTGGTTTTTTCCCAGGAGAATAGGGAGGAAAAAGGAAAAGAAATAGAACGGTTATAGGGTCCAATGGGTAAGAGTTTGGCATGTGTGAGAAAAAGGACAAAATTAGAGATGCACAACATCAAGAAGCAATGGGGGTGTTGAAAGAGAAAGCCTGCAAGGTGCCTGGATTTGGGTTGGGAACTCAGAGAGTTTGGAGCCACTGAACTTACTGAAGCAGGCATGGACATGGTCAAGTCTGTCTTTGAACAAGAAAGCCCTGGGGGGTATAGGAGGTGAACCGGAGGAACAATAGTTAGGAAGGTTCTTTATGGCCCATGATTGTCCCATTTTCACTAAAATAAAATGTGCCTTTTTGGTAGTGAACTGTTCTGAATGCCAAAAGTACTAGGTAAGTTGGTCCCAACTGGAATATTGCAGCCCTGAGGGTGGCTCGGCTGCCCAGTCATTTGGTACCCCCTTTTTCTTTCCTGAACCAGAGAATCTCAGCTCTCAAGAAATCTATTAATTCAGGCTCCCAGGGTCAGCACCACTTGGTCTGTGTCAGAGACACAGCAGTCACACGCACAAACCCAAATGGTCATGGCTGACAGTGGAGGCCTCAGCAGGGCCAAGGAACACAGAGATTTGCAACCTCCCCTTGTGTGCAATTCCCCTTCTATGGTAGGTGGGATTCCCAACCTGGGGAAAGAAATGACCAAGTGTCTGGGAAGGGAAAGTGTCATAAAAGAGCCAGGGCCCAGGAGCTAGGATGACGGTGGCCTGAGGCCCAGACACTCTAGGGAATCCGTGAGACGTGGAGAGAAAACATGAGGGAAAGCAGAGCTACTGTCTGGCCGGCCCAGCTTCCTCTTTTATGAGCTCATGGGCAAAGCCAGGCCAGGCAGAGGGTGCTAGAGATTGAGTGAGCTTGTTTTTTCCCTAACTTGGTTCTGAGTCACACATGGCATCTATCCTTCCCAGAAAACCACCTCAGGGCTCACCCCTTGGCAGCCCACCAAACCCCAGTACTGACACGCGATCCCCACTGGGTAGGGCCAGGGAGCTGCAGACAGGCCAGCCCCAGCACCCGCCTCCGCCCCTGGAGAGGCCTCTTGGGGAATGAACTGTCCCTCCCAACCTTGGAAGAAAAGAGCCTATGGCAACTGCTTTGGAGGGTAGGCTGGAGGCACGTCCAACTTTTGAGCACACATGGGAGACGCTGCTGAATCATGGGGTTTCAGAGGAGGAGAAACATTAGAGAGCCTTTAATTTATGCCTTTCACTTTGTAGATCAACTCATCCAGTAAATACGGGGTGTCTGAAAAGTCTGGACAAAAGGGGAAATATTTTATTTGTTGTGCATTTTTCCCCTATGATTATGTTTTGACTTCAATCTCCATCAAATTCTCCAATGGCTGACATTGGAGCTGTCTACAGAGAGATGCAGGCTGCTTCCCACGGGAACAGCACTGTAACAGTAATGACATCAACGATCCTGTATTTCTAGCCTTTTCAGCAGCCTGTATTGATTGACAGGCACAGTTCTAGGCACTGAAAATAGAGCAGTACACAAGATAGATAAAGTCCTACTCTGGTGGAGTTATAATCTGGTGGGAAAGAAACCAAGACCAAAGGAGGAGCCACAACACTGGGGTCCTAAGAAGCCGGCTTTGGCAGAAGGACAGGAATGCTGGGCCCTTTCCCAGCTCCCGGCTCAGCTTATAGCAGCCTCCAGGGTAGCTGGGTTGAGTTGGGCTGGGTCAGGCTGAGCTGCATCCCAGGGTAGGGTCATCGTGCCACTTTTGTGACCTTGCCTTGGTGCTCCCGGAACTCTTGCCATGGTTTTGCGTCAGGGGAACTGCCAGGGCCTGATTTTGGGCCTCCTAGAGCCTAGATGAATATCTTTAGGGGTCATTTGTTAACTTGCTGCCTAGAACTCACCACCCCACTCTACCCCCATGCCTCTGGAGAATTGTTCCAGCTAAAATGTAGGTGGGAGGGGATGTTTAAAATCACCTGTTCCTTGTCAGTATAGTGGTGAGTAAAAACAAATTTTTTTTTTTGCTGGGTGTGGTGGCTCACGCCCGTAATCCCAGCACTTTGGGAGGCCGAGGGGGCGGATCACGTGAGGTCAGGAGTTTTCCAGACCAGCCTGGCCAACATGGTGAAACCTTATCTCTACCAAAAATACAAAAATTAGCCGGGCATGGTGGCATGCGCTACTCGGGAGGCTGAAGCAGGAGAATCGCCTGAACCCGGGAGGCAGAGGTTGCAGTGAGCCGAGATTGTGCCACTGCACTCCAGCCTGGACGACAGAGTAAGACTTTCTTTTTTTTTAAGACGGAGTTTCACTCTCGTCGCCCAGGCTGGAGTGCAGTGGTGCAATCTCAGCTCACTGCAACCTCTGCCTCCCTGGTTCAGGCAATTCTCCTGCTTCAGCCTCCCGAGTAGCTGGGATTACAGGCACACGCCACCACGCCCAGCTAATTTTTGTATTTTTGGTAGAGACGGGGTTTTGCCATGTTGGCCAGGCTGGTCTCGAACTCCTGACCTCGTGATCCACCCACCTCAACCTCCCAAAGTGCTGGGATTATGGGCGTGAGCCACCACGCCCAGCCAAACTAAATTTTTTAAATAAATAAAGGCCAGACTTTGTGGCTCACGCCTGTAATCCCAACACTTTGGGAGGTTGAGGCGGGAGGATCGCTTGAGCCCAGAATTTTGAGACCTGCCTGGGCAACATGGCAAGACCCTGTCTCTACCAAAATAAATAAAAATTAGCTGGGCATGGTGGCACGTTCCTGGAGTCCCAGCTACTCAAGAGGCTGAGGTGGGAGGATCACTTGAGCCCAGGAGGTTGAGGTTGCAGTGAGCCATGTTTATGCCACTGCACTCCAGCCTGGGTGAGAGAGTGAGATCTTGTCTCAAAAAATAAATAAATACATACATAAAAAAATAAAATCACTCACATTAGTTGAACAGGAACTAGGAATGCAGAAGTCTTTGCTTCTCTGGAAAATAAAGAGCCACAAAACCTGCCTGATATGGAGAGGGAGGGAGGGCAGAGTAAAAAGAGAAAGAACTTGTATCTCCTGGTGATGTTAGCAGTTAGAGGTTACTTTCTCATTCCAGTTCCCTACTCCTGGGTTGGCTCACTGCTGCCCATCCCTGTTCCAAAGCAGTCCCTCTTCTCATAATTATAATAATGCCCCTGCTCCATGCAAGAAGCACCTACTATGTGCCCAGAAGGAGTAAATTTATATGCTTAACCTTTGCAGTTACCTAGAGGTCAATTTGCCCATTTATCAATTGAGGAAACAGATTTTCAGCAACATTAAGTAACTGGCCCAATATTGCCTAGTTAATAAGTAGCAGAGCTGGCACTTAAACCCAATTTCGTCTAACACCACTAGATTACAATATGTTCTTTTTGCTATTCCGTGTTTCCTTTCTATCTCAAACCCATCTCAAGTCACCAAGTAGTTATTGAGGATCTACTGAATACCAGGTGCAGCTAAAAAGCTTTCACTTTGTCATTCCCTACCCCCAGGACCCTGGTGCAGTCCCTTCACCCTGCTTTCCTTTCTCAGATGCTCCCATTTCCAAATCTCTGCCTCCCTTTCCCCTGCCCATTCTGCCTCCGCCAGTGCCCATTCTTGCCTTCCCCCGTTCTGGGCCTGTGGTCAGCAGTGCAGCAGTACCCAGGTGAGGCAGCAGGCCTGACTCACTCCTATGTCAGGGATTGTAAAGGGCGCGGGCCAGGGCTTTGCTGTCGCTGTCGTCACTGCACAATTGTTCCTGATTCAGCGGCGGATCACCTGAGCCACACCTGAGTGCCCCCAACCTCCTCTTTGAAGAGCAAACATGGGGGCCTCTAAAGGAACATGGCTAGATAAACAGACCTCTCTGCAGATGAGGTTTAGCTCCTCGGAGGAGACAGATTTAAGAATATTTATTAAGTTCCTACTAGGTGACAGCCAAGTACTGGAGATACTACAGAGATCTAATGAGAAAAAGGTCAGATGTGGCCCTGTACACTCGTGGAGATTATATTCCAGTAGGCGGGACAAACAACAGCAAAAAGCAAATACATAAAATGATTCCCCAACGTGATATGTGTCATGAAGAAAAACAAGGGGCTGAGAAGGAGGCTAGCAGTGGTGATGGATCAAGGCAAAGGTCAAACGAGGGAAATGAAGGAACATGGTGATCTGGGGGAAGATGGGAAGGAAATGAGGAGGAGAGCTGGAAATGGAGGAGGCTAAGGGCCTGTTTCTCCAGTATCAGGGCAGTGGGAGCCAGTCCAGTTGCTCGTCTCAGCCCCTGGCACTTTCTGGCCTTAACTCATTCCCCAGCCTGCACTCCCCCACCCCCTTATTGGCTTAATGATTCACCCCCAACATTTCCCTAGCTTCCTGTGTGGCAGGAAGGAGCAGGAGCAGAGCCCTAGGGCTCTGAGGGTAGCAGGAATGGGGATGGGATTGGTTGGGAATGGTGAGCAGTCCGGGTTCTCAGGTCTTCTCTTTGTCCCATTCTGGTCTTGCCACAAAGAAAGGTCTCTCTGTGCCGGGAGGACAGCGAGGATAACTAGACCCAGCTGGAGGCCCAGATTCCAGATGTGGGAGGTAGTGGCAAAACAAGATCCTGGCATCCCCTTCATTTCCCCTCCTCTGCCTAATGCCCTAGAGAAATTTTCCATCATAAACAAGTAATGCATTCCTAACCTTTGGTGCTTCTCTCTCTCTCCCACCCACTAGTTTTCTTCCATCATCACTATCTCCCCCTACTCCCAATTTATGTTTATGTGAGTGTGAGGGTCTGTCCACATGTGTAAGTAGTCATGGGTTTATGTTGGTCATTGTGTAGCGTGCGAGTTGCCTTGGAATAAGGATGTTGGGGGTGGTGGGCTCCCTGTGCTTGGGTGTAAATGTAAGAATGATGGCAGGTGTGAAGACAGGCGTGGGAAAGCAATGCGCCTTTGTTTACAGAGGAGGTGTGTTTTATGCCAGCCAGGAAGAAGTGTGTAATGTGGAAGGGATCTTGTGTATTTAGATAAGAGTAGTGAGTATAAAATAAAGTGACTTGTAGGCCCAGGAATTGTACACAGAGCAGTAGTGTATTTCTAGCCGGTTGTGGCCTGTCCTCTTATTTGTGTTCCTACATGTTCTTGATTGAAAAATCCTTTTAAGTGTTTCCTAAGTGGGAGGGGAGAAAAGTGTTTCCTGTTTGGTGTCTGTGTAAGAATTGTCCCAGCTTTTCTAAAGATGTTGTACATTTGTATGAGTGGTTTGGAGGAGTGTAGCCACATCTCAGAAGCTTGGTGTGACCCAGCCAAGGTGGGAATACTACATGCACACTTACAGTTGTACATTTCACCTGGCATTTAACAAGATTATTGAGCAACTGCTGCCTACAAGGTACCATGCTGGGTTCTCTGGAGGACACAAAGATGTGTATGACACAGCCTCCAGTGGAAGAGATCATATATGTATTCACTTTGTGCACCAGGCTTAAAATGATGGTAGAAAGATCTGAGCCAGATGTATTTCAAATCTCTGGAGTCATCTCAGATCTTTTCATCCTCTTGCTGTCGGCAACTCTCCCTCTCCCATGCTCCCTTCCCCTAATGATATCCATCTCATTGCCCAATTCTGATTATCTTATGCTAGGAATGTCTCTTAGGGCCACCTTCTCAGGCTCTTGTTATCATCTACCTGAGCCCCTCCAATAGCCTCCTGTCTACTGCCTTAGTCTCTACCCGTCCAGAGCATCACTCCTCATCCCAATCAGTTTCCTGCTTGAATTTTCCTCCCTTTATCTCATCCAGCAACCCACAAGCTCTACAGTCTAGAGTGAAACCCAGGCTCCTGACCTGGCAGCTCTGCTCTCCCCACTCTGCCCAATTCCACTCCTTTCCAGCCATTATTACTTCCCACTACTCCGTTACAGGAAACTTACTCTGAGATTGTTTTTCTTGTGATTCCCCAAACACATCCTGTACTTTTCCAGCTCAAGGTCTTTGCTAATTCCATTCTTACAGTCATCCTCCACATCTGAATTTGTCATATCCCACCCACTGTTCAAGGTCACCTTCAGTGCCACTCTTCCATGAAGCCTCCCCTGATTGATTGGACAGATGTGAACACTAGCTCTTTTGGGTCCCCCCCTTAACACTTAGTCTTCAGTTTTCTTAGGTTTTTTTGTTTTTGTTTTTGTTTTTTGTTTTGTTCTTGTTTTTTTGAGACAGGGTCTCACTCTGTCACCCAGGCTGGAGTGCAGTGGCACGCTCTCAGCTTGCTGCAACCTCTGCCTCCTGAGTTCAAGCGATTCTCCTGCCTCAGCCTCCCGAGTAGCTGGGATTACAGACATGCGCCACCATGCTTGGCTAATTTTTGTATTTTTAGTAGAAACAGGGTTTCACCATGTTGACCAGGCTGGTCTCGAACTCCTGACCTCAAATGATCCACCCGCCTCGGCCTGCCAAAGTGTTGGGATTACAGGTGTGAACCACCGTGCCTGGCCTTTCTTAGGATCTTCAAGAAAGCTTGCCTTTCCTTCAGGCAGAAACTCAATATAACAAAAAAAGAGAGAGAGAGAGAGCAACAGAGACAGACAGATAGAGAGCTCTCCTGGCCATGGTTCCCTCCTCATGCCGGAGGGTAAGGCCCTCATGGCTGGAGTATCAGCTTTATCTGGCTTTCCTCAGGCAGCTGCATGGCACAGCACTTATACTGAAACTAGCCTCAGGACTCTCAACAGTAGTACCCTCAACAGAGGGCGCCTGAAACAGGTGAATGCTCAAAAGATGTTAAATTCTGCACGGTGGCTGCCAGCACTTTGGGAGGCCGAGGCAGGCAGATTGGTTGAGCTCAGGAGTTCAAGACCAGCCTGGGCAACATGGCAAAACCCTGGCTCTACAAAAAATTTTATATATATATATATATATTTATATATATATATATATTTATATATATATATATATTTATATATATATATATATATTTATATATATATATATATTTATATATATATATATATATATTTATATATATATATATATTTATATATATATATATATATATATATATATATATATATATTAGCCAGGCATGGTGGTGCTCACCTGTGGTCCCAGCTACTCAGGAGGCTGAGGTAGGAGTATGGCTTGAGCCAAGAGGCAGAGGTTGCAGTCAGCCGAGATCATGCCACTGCACTTCAACCTGGGCGACAAAGCCAGATCCTGTCTCAAAACAAAAAAAAAAAGTTAAATTCTGTGTCCATGAGCAGCTGTCTGTAAGGAAGTTATGGAAATGTGAATCTGCTTTAAGTTGAGTAATTACCATTACTGTAACATTTGTATAATGTCTCACAATTTAGAATGTTTGTCCCATAAATTTGGTTGTTTGACTTACAGCAAGGGGCAAATCTGGGTGGCTGCTAACCTATTGCCTTTGTATTTGTGGCCCTCTGCACCAGCCTTTATGTGAATATTTCTGCACGCTCCTAAGAGAGTAGTTTTGCTGAACTGTCCCTATACAGTCTTTGCACCTTTACTGTGTACATGTGTGTTGGTAGGTGTACGTGGTATGTTTTCCTTTTTTTCCAGGATTGCATTCTTTTTATGGCTGAATAATATTTAATTGTGTATTGTTGTTGTTGTTGTTGTTATTTTATAGTGACAAGGTCTCACTATGTTGCCCAGGCTCCTGAGCTCAAGTGATCCTCCCACCTTAGCCCCCCAAAATGCTAGGATTACAGGCAAGAGCCACCATGCCCCACCATTGTGTATTACTTTTTTAATCTTTCTATCCTTCCCTCCCTCCCCAACTTTTATTTTAAATTCTGGGGTATATGTGCAGGTTTGTTACCTAGGTATACTGCATGATGCTGAGGTTTGGGGTATGAATGATCCTGTCACCCAGGTACTGAGCATAGTACCCAATAGTTAGTGTTTCAACCTTTGCCTTACTCCCTCCGTCCTTCTTCTACTGGTCTCAAGTTGCTATTGTTGCCATCTTTATGTCCATGAGTTCCCAATGTTTGGTTCCCACTTATAAGTGAGAATGTGTGGTATTTGGTTTTCTGTTCCTGAGTTAATCCGCTTAGGATAATGGCCACCAGCCGCATCCATGTTGCTGCAAAGCACATAATTTTGTTCTTTTGTATGGCTACGCGGTGTGTGTCTTCATGTGTGCTCAGGCAGGCAGGTTTGTGTCTGTGTGTGCTAGTGTGTTCATTTCTCCCTTAATCTTGACTATTTCTGTAACAATTTCCTTCTTGGGGAGTTTATATTCTAAGGATACCTACAAGTGCATGAATGCGTGCATATAACTGGGTCAGTATTGCAGCAGGATGGCCTGATCTCCAATAAAAAGCCCTCTTGGCAGGGCACGGTGGCTCACGCCTGTAATCCCAGCACTTTGGGAGGCCGAGGCGGGCAAACCAAATACCATACATTCTCACTTATAAGTGGGAACCAAACATTGGGAACTCGTGGACGTAAAGATGGCAACAATAGCAACTTGAGACTACTAGAAGAAGGACGGAGGGAGCGAGGCAGATCACGAGGTCAGGAAATCGAGACCACCCTGGCCAACAGGGTGAAACCCCGTCTCTACTAAAAATACAAAAATTAGCTGGGCGTGGTGGCGCGTGCCTGTATTCCCAGCTACTCAGGAAGCTGAGGCAGGAAAATCGCTTGAACCAGGGAGTCAGGGGTTGCAGTGAGCCGAGATCGCGCCTCTGCATTCCAGCCTGGCGACCGAACGAGACTGCTCCATCTCCAAAAAAAAAAAAAAAAAAAGGCCTGTGAGGGATCCTGTGGCTAAAGTGAGCCCCTCTCCAGGTGCCACATGCCTCGACATGTGCCTGCAGCCCGGGATCTCACCCACCCCCACTCACGACTCACACACTCACAACGTGCAGTTGGGCGCCTAGGATTGTGCATGTCAAGTCTCCACCCACTCCCTTTGTTTAATCGTCGGAATTTCCAGCCCGCTGCTGCCAACCGCTCCCCAGCTGCGGGAGGAGGAGTTAGAAGGACCCGCCCAATTTTCAGGAGCACATAAATTACCTCTGCCGGCAGCCGACCCTCACTTGGCCTTACACTCCGCTCGGCTCACCATGTGTCACTCTCGCAGCTGCCACCCGACCATGACCATCCTGCAGGCCCCGACCCCGGCCCCCTCCACCATCCCGGGACCCCGGCGGGGCTCCGGTCCTGAGATCTTCACCTTCGACCCTCTCCCGGAGCCCGCAGCGGCCCCTGCCGGGCGCCCCAGCGCCTCTCGCGGGCACCGAAAGCGCAGCCGCAGGGTTCTCTACCCTCGAGTGGTGAGTATCGCCGAAGTGGGCATTCGCGGGGTGCGCTGCCCTGGAGTCACTGGGGAACGACCCGACTCCAGAGGCCTCGACCTGACCTGTCTCCTGTTTTGTCTCCCCTTAGGTCCGGCGCCAGCTGCCAGTCGAGGAACCGAACCCAGCCAAAAGGCTTCTCTTTCTGCTGCTCACCATCGTCTTCTGCCAGATCCTGATGGCTGAAGAGGGTGTGCCGGCGCCCCTGCCTCCAGAGGACGCCCCTAACGCCGCATCCCTGGCGCCCACCCCTGTGTCCCCCGTCCTCGAGCCCTTTAATCTGACTTCGGAGCCCTCGGACTACGCTCTGGACCTCAGCACTTTCCTCCAGCAACACCCGGCCGCCTTCTAACTGTGACTCCCCGCACTCCCCAAAAAGAATCCGAAAAACCACAAAGAAACACCAGGCGTACCTGGTGCGCGAGAGCGTATCCCCAACTGGGACTTCCGAGGCAACTTGAACTCAGAACACTACAGCGGAGACGCCACCCGGTGCTTGAGGCGGGACCGAGGCGCACAGAGACCGAGGCGCATAGAGACCGAGGCACAGCCCAGCTGGGGCTAGGCCCGGTGGGAAGGAGAGCGTCGTTAATTTATTTCTTATTGCTCCTAATTAATATTTATATGTATTTATGTACGTCCTCCTAGGTGATGGAGATGTGTACGTAATATTTATTTTAACTTATGCAAGGGTGTGAGATGTTCCCCCTGCTGTAAATGCAGGTCTCTTGGTATTTATTGAGCTTTGTGGGACTGGTGGAAGCAGGACACCTGGAACTGCGGCAAAGTAGGAGAAGAAATGGGGAGGACTCGGGTGGGGGAGGACGTCCCGGCTGGGATGAAGTCTGGTGGTGGGTCGTAAGTTTAGGAGGTGACTGCATCCTCCAGCATCTCAACTCCGTCTGTCTACTGTGTGAGACTTCGGCGGACCATTAGGAATGAGATCCGTGAGATCCTTCCATCTTCTTGAAGTCGCCTTTAGGGTGGCTGCGAGGTAGAGGGTTGGGGGTTGGTGGGCTGTCACGGAGCGACTGTCGAGATCGCCTAGTATGTTCTGTGAACACAAATAAAATTGATTTACTGTCTGCAGTCTTGAGTGTATCTTTGCAAGCGCCGACTCCCCACTCCTCCCGGCCTTCAGATGGCAAGGACCGGCGGGAGGCGCCGTGGCCGAGTCCCCAGCCCGCGCACCTCCCTGGGCCCAGGAGCCCCTTTTCCTGGAGTCACAGAACCCAGCATCCGGTTGCCGGATGTAGTCTTTCATTGCCCAGTCTGCGGTTTTCCCAGGTAGTTGCCCCGCGGCGAATCCGAGATGTGGCAATCACCCTTACGCCAGGGTGCCAGGCGGAGGTCAAGTCCCTCACCCGGGGGCGGAGCGTGGCGCGGCGTGGGCGGGATTCCCGGCTCAAGAAGGGCGGTGACTGGGGCGGCAGGGATGTGGCCCTCCCCGGGCTAACCAGGCAGCCCGGCTGGGCCCGAGAGCCAGCGGGCGGGCGGGCTGCGGACTCTAGCGGGGCCTGCCGGGAAAGGGGCGGGCCGAGCGCACTGGGCCGAGGCGGGGCGAAGTGGGGGTGCTTAGTCCGTTGCGGGGGGCGGGGTCGCGTCTGCCGCAGCAACGGGGTGCGGCAGGGTGGGGAACGCGGGAGCGGGGCCAGCTCCCAGGAAAGCTGGTCTGCGAGCGGCCCCTGCCCGGCTCCCAGGTCCCTGCGCGACCCCGCCCTTCCCGAGACCCCAGCCGGGCTGCCGCCCGCGTCCCGGAAGGTGAGTGGGGGAGGGGAGATGGAGCCTGGGGCTGCCGAGAAGCAGGGAGAGAGGGGAAAGGTCTGCAGGCCTCTGGGCGCGGGGGACCTTTATCAAAGGGAGCGGCGAGGGGAAGGGAGGGACCATACGCAGGCGGAGAAGAGGTAGCTGGGGATCTTAAGGATTTTGTAGGGAAAAGCCTTAGCGGACCCATGGGTGTAGAAGGGACGGGCCGTGGCGGATGCAGACTGGGAGGGCCTGACGGGAAAGGGAAAGGATGGGCCCCTGTGGACGCCACAGCGCGCCTTCCCCATCCGCAAAGGCTTTCCCTCCCTCTCCTCCAGCTCCAGCCTGAACCATGTTTTTCACTTGTGGCCCAAATGAGGCCATGGTGGTCTCCGGTAAGTACTGTTGTTCCCTTCCCAGCCAGTGACCCCAGAACCCCTGTGAGTCTGGCCTCTGCCCCTTCTCCCTCTCCCTACCAACTTCCCAGCACCAGACTTCTGCCCCTTGATGGCCACGAACTGCCCAGTTTGATTCCCACCATTCCAAGGCCCAGACTGCTTCCCCTCCAGCTCCCAGATTCTCTCCTGTGGGTTGCTGTCCCCTCACCCCCGCCAGTTCCTCAGTCTTCCACATTCAAGCTCTGCCACCGTTCCTCACTGCCCCACACCTTGCAGGGTTCTGCCGAAGCCCCCCAGTCATGGTGGCTGGAGGGCGTGTCTTTGTCCTGCCCTGCATCCAACAGATCCAGAGGTAGGCAAGAAGGGAACCAGGGAAGGGGGACCTCCGTTTTCTCTTTTTCCTCCTCTTCTTACTGTCTGTCCCTTCTTTTTCCCCTAGGATCTCTCTCAACACACTGACCCTCAATGTCAAGAGTGAAAAGGTTTACACTCGCCATGGGGTCCCCATCTCAGTCACTGGCATTGCCCAGGTGAAGCTTTCAGAGCCTTTTCCCCACAGTCCACTTCCCCATCACCCTCTCTCCCAGACATTAAGACATCTTCTGGCCACAGTCTTCTCAACCCTTGCCTGCAGAGAAGTTCCTCTGCTAGTCTCATCTTTTCCAGGCACCCCAAGGCACTTGCCTCCTCCTCCTTTCTTTCCCTGAAATGGAAGAAGCATTTCTTAGAGGGCTCTCCCTTCTCTCTCTGCTTTTTCTCTGACTTCATGAGACCCCCACCACACCTTTCCTACCCCTACTCTGGCTACAGGTAAAAATCCAGGGGCAGAACAAGGAGATGTTGGCGGCCGCCTGTCAGATGTTCCTGGGGAAGACGGAGGCTGAGATTGCCCACATTGCCCTGGAGACGTTAGAGGGCCACCAGAGGGCCATCATGGCCCACATGACTGTGGAGGTTGGCCTAGGGGCAGGGAACCATCTGGAAGGATGTCAAAATGAGGGGGGCCCAAGGCCCACACTAGTCTGTGAGAGACAGTGGATCCAAGAGCATACATCCCGGCCGGGCAGGGTGGTTCATGCCTGTAATCCCAGCACTTTGGGATGCCAAGGTGGGCAGATCACTTGAGGTCAGGAGTTCGAGACCAGCCTAGCCAACCTGGTGAAACCCCTTCTCTACTACAAATACAAAAATTAGCTGGGTATGGTGATGGGTGTCGGTAATCCCAGCTACTTGGGAGGCTGAGGCAGGAGAATCACTTGAACCCAGGAGGCAGAGGTTGCAGTGAGCAAAAAAAAAAAAAAAAAAAAAACTTACATCCCTTCTCCCCACCATCCTGTTATCACAGGAGATCTATAAGGACAGGCAGAAATTCTCAGAACAGGTTTTCAAAGTGGCCTCCTCAGACCTGGTCAACATGGGCATCAGTGTGGTTAGCTACACTCTGAAGGACATTCACGATGACCAGGTAAAACTAGGCAATTGATCCTTCCCCACTTCCTTGCTCCCATCTCTTAAGCCCTCCAAAGGACTAATTTCTACATCTCTCCCACAGGACTATTTGCACTCTTTGGGGAAGGCTCGAACAGCTCAAGTCCAAAAAGATGCACGGATTGGAGAAGCAGAGGCCAAGAGAGATGCTGGGATCCGGGTGAGAGAGATGGGGGTTGCTTAGTGGGAAAGGGGATAGAAGTGGCACAACTGAGAAGAAGCAGGGGTGCTGGGTGAGCAGGGAAAATACATGAGGCAGAAAGAGAACCTTGGTGGGAAGCAGGCTGTCACCGTGGCCTTTCTCCCCCTGCCCTGACATTTCCTACCTGATCTCTGCTTGGACAGGAAGCTAAAGCCAAGCAGGAAAAGGTGTCTGCTCAGTACCTGAGTGAGATCGAGATGGCCAAGGCACAGAGAGATTACGAACTGAAGAAGGCCGCCTATGACATCGAGGTCAACACCCGCCGAGCACAGGCTGACCTGGCCTATCAGCTTCAGGTCAGAGCCACTGCCAGGCCACTCTCTGCCCCTTCCCCATTCCTCTCAGGCTGTCCATCTCAGGACACCACTACACTATTTCTCATACTTTAACTTTGG
This sequence comes from Homo sapiens, assembly GCF_000001405.40. Classification (NCBI taxonomy): domain Eukaryota; kingdom Metazoa; phylum Chordata; class Mammalia; order Primates; family Hominidae; genus Homo; species Homo sapiens. The sequence goes on along the minus strand of NT_167245.2, from coordinate 1,995,909 downwards.
TCTTATTCTGGCTCTCCATCTCTGGACCAACTCCCCCATATGAGGAGAGATTTAAAAGACTCAGACGTTACAGCTGAAAAGCTTTAAAGAAAAGGCCAGCCGGGTGTGGTGACTCATGCCTGTAATCCCAGCACTTTGGGAGGCCAAGGCGGGCTGATTGCTTGACCTCAGGAGTTCAAGGCCAGCCTGGGCAACATGGTGAAACCGTGTCTATGCGAAAAATACAAACATTAGCCAGGCATGGCAGCTCGGGCCTGTAGTCACAGCTACTTGGGGTATGAGGCAGGAGGATTGCTTGAGCCAGGATGCGCAGGTTGCAGTGAGTCGAGATCACACTACTGCACTCCAGCCTGGGTGACAGTGAAATCCTGTCCAAAAAAGAGAAAAAAAAGGCCACGCGCGGTGGCTCATGCCTGTAATCCCAGCACTTTGGTAGGCCAAGGCAGGTGGATCACAAGGTCAAGAGTTCGAGACTAGCCTGGCCAACATAGTGAAACCCTGTTTCTACTAAAAATACAAAAATTAGCCAGGTATGGTGGCACGCACCTGTAGTCCCAGCTACTTGGGAGGCTGAGGCCGGAGAATTGCTTGAACCCGGGAGACAGAGGTTGCAGTGAGCTGAGACCACGCCATTGCACTCCAGCCTGGGTGACAGAGTGAGACTCCATCTCAAAAAAAGAAAAAAAAAAAAGAGAAGGCCAAGAAGGGATATGATCAATAAGGCTGATCATATGTTTGGAGCAGGCTGTGCCCGTGCAAAGGCATCTGACTGAGAAAGTGGATCCGAGCTCAGATCCGGCCCATGCCCCTCTAATCAAGCAGTGCATTCTGACATGGGTCTGCATCTACACAGAGGAATTTCTGATTTGCACAGAGGCATGCTATGGGCTAGCGGCAGCCCTGGTTAATTAAAAAAGGGTATGAAGAAGGAAAACATGGACTTGGACATTGAATCCTGCAAAGTGAGATATGGGCAGCCCTTGATATTGCCAGGAAGTATAGTTGATCTTCATTCTTCATTATTCGTATCTGAGAATTTGCCTATTCACTAAAATGTATTGGTAACCTCAAAAGGTTACCAATAAAGTCGCAGCACTTTCAGGATCTTTTGCAGACACGCACAGTACCCAGGTGAGGTTGATCAAGGAGATGCTCTGCTGCCTTGTTTCAGCTCTCATACCGTAAGCCGTGTTATTTTCACAGTGTATTTACTGCCGTGTTTTTTGCATTTTTGTGCTTTTTATTGGTGAATTCACTCTTTAAAATGGCCCCCAAGCATCAGTGCTGTAGTGCTGTCTAGTGTCCTTTAGTGCAAGCGGGCTATGATGTGCCTTATGGGAGAAATACATGTGTTAGGTAAGCTTCGTTCATGCATAAGTTATACTGCTGTTAGCTGTGAGTTCAGTGTTAATGAATCAACAATATATTTTACATAAGGTGTCTTTAAACAGAAACACATATAAAGCAAGGCTCTATGTTGATCAGTTGATGAAAATGTTTTGACCAGAGGCTCACGGGAACCTAGCCTGTATTTCTTCTAGGAACAAATTAGGTATTAACTAATTCAGCATTCATGGCTACTTTATAGAACAGAACTACCAAGAACAATGAAAATCAACTGTACTTTGAGACCTTTACCCAAAGGATAGCAATATTATGCATTTTGTTTTTGCCAAGAGTTGGTACAGGCTGAAAGCATAATGAAGGTAAAAACATCTTTTGTTATTATGTTAAATTCCTGGGTGACTTGACAGGTTGAACATGGCATACAGCTTTGCAACTCAAACTGTGTTCTACCCAGCAGCAGCTGCAGCATCACTGCGAAGCTTGTTAGAAATACAAAATTGCAGGCCCTGGCCCTGACCAGCTGAATCAGAACCTGCATTTTAACAAAATCTCAAGGTGAATTCCTAGGTGATTTGTATGCACATTGGAGTTTGAGTTTGAAAAGGGTTACCATGATGGAAACTGCTAGCTTGCAGTGAAGCTATGGATAAGGTTCTTAACCTTCTAAACATGACCTTACTTGTCTGCAGATTAAGGGATTGGACTGGTTGGACTCTTTTCAACTTTTATCAGTTTCTCGTTATGCACCAGGCAGTGTGCTAGGTGTTCAGGAAAGAAGGATTTATTCAACAAATATCTGTTAAGTGCCTTCTATGTGCTAGACACCATTTTGGAGGTGAGGCTATAAATATGGAGGTGAGGCAGAAAAGATTCCTGCCCTTATGCAGCTTACATTATGACACAGGAAACAGCTAGTAAGCAAGTAAATGACCTTCCCAGGCTATAATTCTTGTTTAGGTGCTGTGAAGGAAATAAACAGGGTGATGTGAAAAACTGTGGGAGGGGAGTTAGTATATTAGGTTAGCGGGTGGTAGAGAAAGTTTCTATGAGGAAGTGGTGTTTGAGATCAGACTTGGAGATAAGAAGGAACAATGTACAGTTCTGAGCCAAGAATATTCTAGCCTGTGCTTTTTAAGTAGTCATACTTAAAAAGTGGCTGGGCGCGGTGGTTCATGCCTGTAATCCCAACACTTTGAGAGGCTGAGACAGGAAGATCACTTGAGGCCGGGAGTTTGAGACCAGTCTGGCCAACAGTGAAACCCTGTCTCTACCAAAAATACAAAAAATATTAGCCGGGTGTGGTGGTTTGAGCCTGCAGTTCCAGCTACTTGGGAGGCTGAGGCGTGAGAATCGCTTGAATCCAGAAGGCACAGTGAGCCGAGATTGCGCCACCGCACTCCAGCCTGGGCGACAGAGCGAGACTCCTTCTAAGATAGATATATGGATGGATGGATGGACGGATGGACGGATGGACGGACGGACGGACGGACGGACGGACGGACGACAGACAGTCAGTCAGTCAGTCAGTCATACGTGGCTTGTGGCTAGGCAGGGGACCAGTAAGTGCAAAGGCTGTGAGGTGGAGTCAGAAAGGAGGTTTCTGATCTGGGGGCGCTGGTGTGCTGTGAGTGAGGAGGAAAGGCAGGCAGGGCCAGATCACAAAGGGTTTGTGTGGTCACGATGGAGACACAGAAGAGAACTGAAAGCACAGTGGAAAGCTATTGGAGAACTTCAAGCAGAAAGGTGCCATGGTCTTATTTATATTTGTATAGGGATCAGTCTGGTTGCCTTGTGGAGAACGGGCAAAGAGAGGAAGCAAGGCCGGGTGCGGTGGTTCACACCTGTAATCCCAACACTTTGGGAGGCCGAGGTGGGCAGATCACGAGGTCAGGAGATCGAGACCATCCTGGCTAACATGGTGAAACCCCGTCTCTACTAAAAATACAAAAAATTAGCTGGGCGTGGTGGCAGGCACCTGTAGTCCCAGCTACTCGGGAGGCTGAGGCAGAAGAATGGCATAAACCCGGGAGGCGGAGCTTGCAGTGAGCCGAGATCGCGCCACTGCACTCCAGCCTGGATGACAGAGTGAGACTCTGTCTCAAAAAAAAAAGCAAAAGATGAGTTGGGCTCTTTTTCAGAGATGATGGATTAAACAAATGTAGCTAATTTTACTCTCTCCTAAAACCTCACTAAAGCCAAAATGATTTTTTTTTTTTTTGAGATGGAGTCTCGCTCTGTCGCCCAGGCTGGAGTGCAGTGGCGCGATCTAAAATGATTTTTTTTAAGGTAAAGATAGAGGCTTGTCCAAAGGTAGTGAGTTATCTCAATTGATTGTTCAGTCAGTTACAGATTGAACTCCTTGTTCTACTCTTTACCTACTTCTCACTATTGCACTTGATTAGTCTTTCTTTCTTCCTTTCTTTCCTTCTCTTCTCTTCTTTCTTCTCTCCTCTCCTCTTTGAGACCGGGTCTTACTCGGTCCCCCAGGCTAGAGTGCAGCGGTACAATCTCAGCTCACTACAGCTTCAACTGCCTGGGCTCAAGCAATACTCCCACCTCAGCTTCCTGAGTAGCTTGGTCTACAAACATATGCCACCACGCCTGGCTAATTTTTGTATGTTTTGTAGAGACGGAATTTCACCATGTTGCCCAGGCTGGTCTCAAACTCCTGGGCTCAAAGGATCCTTCCCGCCTCAGCCTCCCAAAATGCTAGGATTACAGGCGTGAGCCACCATGCCCAGCTGACTAGGCTTTAAAAAAAAAAAAGATGGAGAAAATAGGAACGGAAACCAGAGCATCATTTTGGAAACTGGAAGTCAGTAGTAATTGACTAAGCAGGTATGACACAGCTGAGCTTGAAACCTGCAAAAGGGAAAACAATGAAATGATCTGAGGCTCAGGAGCTGGCAGCACCCAGTGCTTCTCCAGCTGTGGTAGACTGGTTAAATAAGAGGAACATGTGAAAAGCACCTTCTCAGAGCCCCTCACTGCCTCTGGGTAATGGTTCCTGCCCTGCTCCAACAGACATCTGGAGGTTTATTATCTTATTTATCTATTTTATTTATGTTTTTTTTGAGACAGGGTCTCTCACTCTGTTGTCCAGGCTGGAGTGCAGGTGCAGTGGCGCAGTCTCGGCTCACTGCAACCTCTGCCTCCTGGGTTCAAATGATTCTCGTGCCTCACCCTCCCAAGTAATCCTCAACTGGGATTACAAGTGCCCACCACCACGCCCAGGTAATTTTTGTATTTTTTTTTTTTTTTTTAGTAGAGAGGGGTTTCACCATGTCGGCCAGGCTGGTCTCGAACTGCTAGCCTCAAGTGATCCATCCACCTCAGCCTCACAATGTGCTGGGATTACAGGTGTGAGTTACCATACCTGCCATTGGAAGTCTATTATCTGAAGAGAGTAGACTAGAGGATGTGATGGGGGCTGGCCCAGCACAGGTGAGGACCTAGATAGTTTACCAGTAACAGGGGCATGAAATGACTATAACTTTCATGAATGCTAAATACTGAGAGCCAACCCCAACCCCAACCCCCTCAACCCCACTCAGCTCCCAGAACTTCCATCTTCCAAAAAAGAGATCAGAAGACTGCTCTGGGGAACATGACCAATCCAAAAAGAAATAACTTAAAATCCTGAATCAGATGTTTCTCCGTACATGGCCTATCCAGATCACCGTAGGGTGAAGCTCAAAGTCAGCAAGCCTCACCCACATACTCAGAGCTTCCTTTCAGTGTTGAGACCTTCTTCCCTCTGAGCAGATGACAAAGGAGTTTGAAACCAGCCTGGCCAACATGGTGAAACCCCGTCTCTACTAAAAACACAAAAATTAGCTGAAATGGTGACTGTAATCCCAGCTACTCAGGAGGCTGAGGCAGGAGAATCACTTGAATCCGGGAGGCAGAGGTTGCAGTGAGCTGAGATCGTGCCATTTCATTCCAGCCTGGGCAACAGAGCAAGCCATCACAGATTTGGGAGCAACCAAGAAAGCCAGGGACAGGGTATGCTTGGTAACCTGGCAAGAGCTGACAAAGGGGAAAAATAAAACCCCACAGAAAGAAGCAGGGAAGTAAGGGAAAGGGACTAATAAGAGTCAAGCAGGGCCAGGGGTGTTGGCTCATGCCTGTAATCCCAGCACTTTGGGAGGCCAAGGTGGGTGGCTCACGAGGTCAGGAGATCGAGACCATCCTGGCTAACACGGTGAAACCCCAACTCTATAAAAATACAAAAAATTAGCCAGGCGTGGTGGTACGCGCCTGCAGTCCCAGCTACTCGGGAGGCTGAGGCAGGAGAATCACTTGAACCTGGGAGGCAGAGGTTGCAGTGAGATGAGATCATGCCACTGCACTCCAGCCTGGGTGACAGAGCGAGACTCCATCTCCAAAAAAAAAAAAAAAAGTCAAGCACATGCAAATGTGGCATGACTTATTGGGAGCAGAAACATTCTGAGAAAAATTATATAAAAATGAGGTTTTAGATTGAAATGGTCTACTAAGTGCCCAATGCAATGAATGAAAAATATATACATTGAAACATAACACTGTGAAACTTAAGAATGCTGAGGACAAAAAATATGAAAGCTTCTAGAGAGAGAGAGATCTCAAAGAGGCAGGCTTCAAAATGACTTCAGATTCCTTTTTTTTTTTTTTTTTTTTTTTTTTCAGAGACAGGGTCTTGCTCTGTTGTCCAATACAGTGGCATAAACAAGGCTCACTGTAACCTCAACCTCCCAGGCTCAAGTGATTCTCCCACCTCAGCCTCCCCAGTAGTTGGGACCACAGGGGCACACCACCACGCCCAGCTAATTTTTAAATTTTTTTCTAGAGGTGAGATCTTGCCATATTGCACAGGCTGGTCTTGAACTCCTGGGTTCAAGTTATCCTCCCACCTTAGCCTCCCAAAGTGCTGGGATTATAGGCATGAGCCACTGCATCAAGCCCAGCTTTCTTTTTTTTTTTTTTTTTTTTGAGATGGATTTTTGCTCTTGTCACCCAGGCTGGAGTGCAATGGCGTGATCTCAGCTACTGCAACCTCTGCCTCCTGGGTTCAAGCGATTCTCCTACCTCAGCTTCCCAAGTAGCTGGGACTACAGGTATGTGCCACCATTGCTGGCTAATTTTTGTATTTTTAGTAGAGACGGGGTTTCACCACGTTGACCAGGCTGGTCATGAACTCCTGACCTCAGGTGATCTGCCCACCTCAGCCTCCCAAAGTGCTGGGATGACAGGCATGAGCCACCATGACTGGCCCAAGCCCAGATTTCTTAAAAAGCTAGAAAACCATGGAGGAATGCCTTCAGAATTCTGATGGAAAGTTAATCCCAACATAGCAGCCTGCTTTCAGCCTAACTGGTATTAAAATAGAAGGGTAGAGGCCGGGTGCAGTGGCTAACGCCTGTAATCCCAGCACTTTGGGAAGCCGAAGCAGGTGGATCACCTGAGATAAGGAGTTCAAGACCAGCCTGGCCAATGTGGTGGAACCCCATCTCTATTAAAAACACAAAAATTAGCTGAGCGTGGTGGCAGGCACCTATAATCCCAGATACATGGGAGGCTGAGGCAGGAGAATTGCTTGAACCTGGGAGATGGAGATTGCAGTGAGCCAAGACTGCGTCACTGCACTCCAGCCTGGGTGCCAAGAGCGAAATTCCATCTCAAAAAAAGGTAGAATAAAAATCTCAGAGAAAGCAAGACCTCAGAAAAAATATTGTCTTTATATTCTTTCTGAGGAAGCTTCTGGAGGTTGAGTTTCACCAAAAGGTGGGCATAGACAGGAAGGAAAAAGAAACAGACAAATGGTTGCCTAAGGGACACAGGAGAGAGGTGATCCTGCACACCGGTGTAGAGGGCAACGAGGCCAGTTTGGAACGGGTTTGAAAATTTAGGGTGAAAGACAGTACAGAGTGCCGTCTCCAGAGCTATGCTTCTCTCTGGAGTGAACAGATGGGCCCGGGGGAAGGTAGGAGGCAGGGGAAGCATCACATGTATTGATGAGACCTACAATGATGATGGTGCATGGCTGAGCCTGAGCAATGGGACAACGAAGGCATGTGTTCTGGCTGGGTGTGATGGCACATGCCTGTAACCCCAACACTTTGGGAAGCCGAGGCAGGTGGATCACGTGAGCCCAGGAGTTTGAGATCAGCCTGGGCAACATAGAAAACCCTGTCTCTACAAAAAGTACAAAAAATAGCCGGGTGTGCTGGTTCACACCTGTAGTCCCAGCTACTCTAGAGGGGGAGGCGGGAGGATCATCTGAGCCCAGGCAGGTCAAGGCTGCAGTGAGCCATGATTACGCCATTGAACCTGGGTGACAGAGTAAGATGATGTCTCAAAAAGAAAAAAAAAATGTGTTCCTTGCCTGGCACCTCTCCTCACTAGCATCTTGATAAGAGCCTTCTGATTCCCTCACACTGCAAGGAATAAGAAGATGAAATCTAGGCTGGGTGCGATGGCTCATGCCTGTAATCCCAGCACTTTGGGAAACTGAGGCGGATGGATCACTTGAGATCAGGAGTTTGAGACCAGCCTGGCCAACATGGTGAAACCCCGTCTCTACTAAAAAAAATACAAAAATTAGCCAGACATGGTAGCACATGCCTGTAGTCCCAGCTACTTGAGAGGCTGAGGCAAGAGATTAGCTTGAACCTGGGAGGTGAAGGTTGCACTGAGCTGATCGTGCCACTGCACTCCAGCCTGGGCAATAGAGCGAAACTGCCTCAAAAAAAAAGAAAGAAATCTGCCTAAATAAGAGGAATTCTATGAATACACACATTCTTGTAGATGTTCAGAGTATCCCTGGAAGGATACACAAGAAGCTGGTCTTGGTGGTTTCTCTGGGAAAGGGACCCAGGTGGTTTGGAGAATGAGGAAGAAGCCTCGTGGTTCACTTTTTTTTCTGTTAAATCTGCACCATGTGCAAAAGACAAAAAAGATCACCTGTCCCCACCCCCACAAAAAATAAGTCAGCTATTGCAGTAGCCTAGGCTAGCACTAAGGTTATCGCAGCAACAGTGGGGGGATTTGAGCAAGACTGGAGATAGCAGAAAGCCAACATGTGCTCAGTGCCCTCAAGGTATTTATACTCTAGAAGGGGGCACACGTGGGAAAAATAGATTAAACGGGGGCTCATCAGAGAAACACTGGACTCCACTGGACTGGCCAAGCAGACAGGAGGGAACCCACCTTCATGCACCTGCTCCTTTTTTTTTTTTTTTTTTTTTTGGAGATGGAGTCTTACTCTGTTGCCCAGGGTGGAGTGCAGTGGCGTGATCCCAGCTCACTGCAACCTTCGCCTCCCAGGTTCAAGCAATTCTCCTGCCTCAGCCTCCCGGGTGGCTGGGACTACAGGCATTCGCCACCACACCTGGCTAATTTTTTGTATTTTAGTAGAGACAGGGTTTCACCATGTTGGCCAGGCTGGTCTCGAGCTCCTGAACTCAGGCAATCCACCCTCCTTGGCCTCCCAAAGCGCTAGGATTACAGGCGTGAGCCACCGCGCCCGGCCACCGGCTCCTATTTTTATATCCCACTCTGGAGCTCTGGTTCCCGGGCACTTGCTCTTCACCTCTGACTCAGAGCGTGAACCTGACTTCACCCTCCTACCCAGGTGGCCAAGACTAAGCAGCAGATTGAGGAGCAGCGGGTGCAGGTGCAGGTGGTGGAGCGGGCCCAGCAGGTGGCAGTGCAGGAGCAGGAGATCGCCCGGCGGGAGAAGGAGCTGGAGGCCCGGGTGCGGAAGCCAGCGGAAGCGGAGCGCTACAAGCTGGAGCGCCTAGCCGAGGCAGAGAAGTAAATGTCCCCTCCCTGACCCTGCCTAGCTCACTTGCCACCTAGGCACCCCAAGATGGAGTGCTGAAGCCTTCACCACCTGGACTCCTATGGATTTCAGGTTTCAGGAGCGTCTGCCTCTGCAGCACTGGGCCTTTCTCCTGGGAGTAAGGGCTGCTGGGCTCCACCCTCCACTTCCCTTCTGTCCACAGGTCCCAACTAATTATGCAGGCGGAGGCAGAAGCCGCGTCTGTGCGGGTGAGTTAAGAGGCAGTTCCATGCTGGCTTGTGGAGAGGGTGGGGGTTGCTGCTTGATCGGGGATTTCTTGTTCTTAATGATTTCCGTCAATCTCACAAGCATCCTTAACCCTCAGATGCGTGGGGAAGCTGAGGCCTTTGCCATAGGGGCCCGAGCCCGAGCCGAGGCTGAGCAGATGGCCAAGAAGGCAGAAGCCTTCCAGCTGTACCAAGAGGCTGCTCAGCTGGACATGCTGCTAGAGAAGCTGCCCCAGGTCTGGAGGTCATGTGGGCACCAAGAAAGGAGGAAATAGAACCAGGGACTAAGGGGTGGGGTGTAGTGAGGGGCTTAGGGAGAAACAGCCTAGGGGGACTCTAAATTAGGGGTGGGAATTATTAGTGACCAAAGTGAGGAAGGATGATCAGTGGAACGAGGACCTTAAAACCCAGAGTAAGTTGTTTTATGAGGAATGTGGTCAGATCATGGGCACTGAGTGGGTGTCTCTCTCCTGCCAGGTGGCAGAGGAGATCAGTGGTCCCTTGACTTCAGCCAATAAGATCACACTGGTGTCCAGCGGCAGTGGGACCATGGGGGCAGCCAAAGTGACTGGGGAAGTACTGGACATTCTAACTCGCCTGCCAGAGAGTGTGGAAAGACTCACAGGCGTGAGCATCTCCCAGGTGAGGTCTCAGGTTGGAGCTGAGGAGAATTGCTAGGTTCCTGTGTTGTGTGACACAGTATGCCTAGCATTTAACCAGCATCCAGGCCTGGGAGTCATTGATGTTTATTAATCACTTTCTGTGTGCCAGACACAGTGCTAAGCTTCTACATAAATGAGTTGTTTTAAATCAAACTACCATTAGGGTATATAGGATTTTACAAAGTCCAGAAACTCAACATCCAGCATGTTCCTACTCATTCTGCTAGTGCAGCTGGAGTGAAATCCAGGTCGACTGTCTCTGCAACCTGTGCTTGTGGTCACCCCACTAGTATAGGGAACTAGTTGCAGCCTATTGACAGTTAATTAATTCTAGGGCATATCACTGCTTTTCTCAGCGCCCCAGTTAATTCACCTGTAGATCATGGTAGAAGTCAGCAAACAGGCTCTGGAACCACTGTTTTGTTGCGAATCCTAGCTACAATGCCTGCTAGCTGTAATCTTGGACAAGTAATCAACCTCTCTATACCTGTTTCCTCATCTTAAAATTGGGTTAATAATTAGAAACTACCCTGTTGAATTGTTGAGGGGCTCGAGCAAATATTTGCAGTGTTTAGAATAGTGCCTGGTATATAGTAAGCATTATGTGTATGTTAAAGAAATGGGGCCAGGTGCAGTGGCTTACGCCTGTAATCCCAGCACTTTGGGAGGCTGAGGCAGGCAGATCACCTGAGGTTAGGAGTTGGAGACCAGCCTGGCCAACATGGTGAAACACCATCTTTACTAAAAATACAAAAAAAAATTAGCCAGGCTTGGTGGTGCATGCCTGTAATCTCAGCTACTCGGGAAGCTGAGGCAGGAGAATTGCTGGAACCCAGGAGCCGAAGGTTGCAGTGAGCTGAGATCACACCACTGCACTCCAGCCTGGGTGACAGAATAAGACTCTATCTCAAAAAAAAAAAAAAATTCCAGGCGCGGTAGCTCATGCCTGTAATCCCAGCACTTTGGGAGGCTGAGGCGGGCGGATCACGAGGTCAGGAGATTGAGACCATCCTGGCCAACACAGTGAAACCCCGTCTCTACTAAAAATACAAAACAGCCGGGCGTGGCGGTGTGTGCCTGTAGTCCCAGCTGCTGGGGAGGCTGAGGCAGGAGAATGGTGTGAACCTGGGAGGCAGAGCTTGCAGTGAGCCGAGATAGCACCACTGCACTCCATCCTAGGCAACAGAGCAAGACTCTGTCTCAAAAAAAAAAAAGAGAAAGAAATGCATATTCGGGCTGGGTGCTGTGGCTCACACTTGTAATCCCAGAACTTTGGGAGGCCAGGGTGGACGATCAGCTGAGGTCAGAAGTTTGAGATCACCCTGGCCAACATGGTGATACCCCATCTCTACCAAAAATACAAAAATTAGCTGGGTATGGTGGCGCATACCTGTAATCCCAGCTACTCGGGAGGCTGAGGCAGGAGAATCACTTGAACTCAGGAGGCGGAGGCTGCAGTAAGCCAAGATCGCACCACTGCATTCTAGCCTGGGTGATAGAGTGAGATTCCGTCTCAAAAAAAAAAAGAAAAAAAAAAGCGTATGTAAATAAAAGCACTGGATCATACCAATGACCTTCAAGCTGGGTTCCTTGGAGCCTCCTGGAGGCCTGCAGTAGAATATTCAGAGCTAAGGAGAGTGTGCAAACAAGGCTCTGCCCCCTCTCCTCTCTTCAGTGATTTATTGTATGTGGGTCCTGATGTCTTTGTTTGGGGAAACAGGTGGTAGGGCACCAGAAAGAACCCTGGCCGTGTGTGTTCTGCCTATAGCCCATTCGTCTAAACTGGGGCCCGGGAGAGTAGGGGCCTCAGCCTCCCGAATGTTCCCAAGTGTCATCTACTGTTGTCTTTTTGCCAGGTGAATCACAAGCCTTTGAGAACAGCCTGAGCCTTCAGCCCTCACAGATGCCCAGCCTCATAGCTGAAGTTGCCTGAATGATCCTCCTGTTGCATGTAACCCACTGGCCTCCCTGAGCATGTCCATTGACAGTGAGGTCCCACCCCTCATCTCTCCTTGCCAAATAGTTTGTGCCTTGTCTTGAAGGGGGTTGCTCCCCTTGCCAACCTCACACTGCTATGATTGCCAACTCCAGCGGTCCCATGTCAGCCTTCTGATGATCCCACTCCACCCCACCTCAACTTATTTAACTTCCTAATTAAATCAGACTGTTTGAGCCTGTTGTCTAGAATATTTTCCTGACCAAGACTGAGGGATGGGCTGGAGGTTTTCAACTTTGCTACCCAAATAAATTGCTGTAAGTAAGTACTAATAAAACAGAAGCAACTGGAAATTAATGCTTGGCCCGGCACAGTGGCTCATGCCTGTAATCCCAGCACTTTGGGAGGCCAAGGCAGGCAGATCATCTGAGGTCAGGAGTTCAAGACCAGCCTGGCCAACATGACGAAACCTTGTCTCTACCAAAAATACAAAAATTAGCCAGGCAGGGTGAAACATGCCAAGTAGTAGTCCCAGCTACTTGGGAGGCTGAGGCAGGAGAATTACTTGAACCTGGGAAGCAGAGGTTGCAGTGAGCCAAGATCGCACCACTGCACTCTAGCCTAGGTGACAGAGTGAGACTGTTTCAAAAAAAAAGAGAAAAAAAATGAATGCTAGACTCAGGTATGGTGACTCTTGCCTATAGTCCTAGCTACTTGGGAGGCTAAGGTGGGAGGATCACTTGAGCTCAGGAGTCTAAGGCTGTAGTGAGCCATGATCACACCACTGCATTCCAGCCTGGGTGACAAAGCAAGATCCTGGCTCTATTAGAAAGAAAATGAATGCTAGAATGTAGCTTCTTCCCTTGCATACAATAGGCTTTCTTGCATACAATAGGCTTTCTAGAATGGGAGAAAAGCAAGTTACTTATATACTGTCAAGAGTTTTAGAGTTAATTTTTCCCCCCAACAGTGTATTATAGTCAGAAAAGCATGCTAAAATAGAAGGAATGTTGGGAATAATACTAGTTCCTAGAATTCCTGAAAACATGGCAAAAGGAATTATTGTTTTCAGGGTAGCTTTGAGACTTGCATTGTGAACTTAAAAGTATGAGGTAGTAGATGGTACAGATTGTTTTAGAATGGGACCATAAGGTAGCAATCCCGCCTAGTTATCCTTTTTTTTTTTTAAAGACAAGGTCTTGGGCTTGGGCCGGGCACGGTGGCTCATGCTTGTAGTCCCAGAACTTTTTGGGAGGCTGAGACGGGTGGATCACTTGAGGTCAGGAGTTTGAGACCAGTCCTGGCCAACGTGGTGAAACCCCATCTCTACTAAAATACAAAAATTAGCCCGGCGTGATGGTGGGTGCCTGTAATCCCAGCTACTTGGGAAGCTGAGGCAGAATTCCTTGAACCCGGGAGGCAGAGGTTGTAGCGAGCCAAGATCGCGCCAATGTGCTCCAACCTGGGCAACATAGCAAGACTCCATCTCAAGAAAAAAGAAAAAAAAAGACAAGGTCTTGCTCTGTCACCCAGGCTGGGGTGCAGGGGTAGGGTCAGGGCTCATTGCAGCCTCTACCTCCCAGGCTCAGGCAATCCTCCCATCCAATCCCCACCCCCCTACCCCCAACAACCACCACCCCCCTCTACCCCAGCAGCTGGGACTACAGGCATGCACCACCATGCCCAGCTTTTTTTTTTGTTAGATGGTTCACTGCTGCCCAGGCTGGTGTGGAACTCCTGGGCTCAAGCCATCCTCCTGCCTCGGCCCCCCAGAGTGCTGGGATTACAAGTGGGAGCCACCATACCAGGGCTTCACTAGTTATCTTGGTGTCATAGGTTGACTAAGCCCACAGGATCACAGGAAATGGCCATGGGTACACATAACCCAAAGGAATCCTGGGCTGGGTGGCCAAGGCCAGTTCAACCATTTATGGTTCAGTACATCTGGGTGGGATGAAAAACTTGCATTTATTTCTGCAAGTTCCCAGAGGATGTGGATGCTGGTCTGGAAACCAGTTACACGTGATTTGTCATTCTTCTCAGCTTCCATTTTCCATCCCTGGATCCTGCATCTAAGCCTATGCCTTCCCCAGTTAAGACTCATTGGTGGGCCTGGTGCACTGGCTCACCTGGCTTATGCCTACAGTCCCAGCTGCTTGGGAGAATGAGATGGATTGTTTGAGCCCAGGACATCAAGGCTGTAGTGAGCTGTCAGAGACTACAGTAAAGACTGACTGGTGCTCAGAGCAGTTTGGGTACCAGAAACAATGATGTGAGGGTCTATAAAGCAGTCAGTGTCCTTACCAGTACCTCCCTGAGATACCAAATCGGCAGACACCCAAGTCCCTCATATAAAATGTAGTACTTGCATATAACCTGTGTACTTCAAATCATCTCTACGTTACTTGTAATACCTAATCTAATGCAAATATTATGTAAATAATTTATACTATTATTGTTTAGGGAATAATGAGAAGTCTATACATGTCCAGTACAACTCTTTTCCCAATATCCAGTTGGTTGAATCCGTAGGACAGGGACTCAATATTAAGTGTCAATTTAAGGAGAGCAGTGCAACTGAACTCAGGCCCCATGCCTCCATCAGCCAGCCGTGTTTCCCTAAATAAGCACACATCTCGCAGCTTTTTTCAATTCCCATTTATTTTTGGCTCTTGGGGCGATGTCATCTTTTCAATATGAAAAAAAGCAGCAAGTTCAACATAAAATAGAAATCTCAAATGTAGGATAGAACAAAACCAAGTGTGTGAGGGGGGAAGCAACAGCAAAAGGAAGAAATGAGATGTTGCAAAAAAGATGGAGGAGGGTTCCCCTCTCCTCTGGGGACTGACTCAAACACTGATGTGGCAGTATACACCACTCCAGAGTCAGGGGTGTTCATTCTTTTTTGGGAGTAAGAAAAGGTGGGGATTAAGAAGACGTTTCTGGAGGCTTAGGGACCAAGGCTGGTCTCTTTCCCCCCTCCCAACCCCCTTGATCCCTTTCTCTGATCAGGGGAAAGGAGCTGAGTGAGGGAGGTAGAGTTGGAAAGGGAAGGATTCCACTTGACAGAGTGGGACAGACTCCTCCAGAGTAGAGCTTGGAGGGAGATTGAAAGTGGAGATAATACTGCTGACACCTCCCTTGAAGCTGAGATGGGAAATGGACATACTTAGAAATTTAGTGACTTTAATAGCCTGGATTTCCCTCTCCAAAACTTTTAGAATGGAAAATCCCATCCCCTTCCTTATATAGTGACTTCTACCCACTACCTTCTACCATTTTCTACTTTGGGCTTAGGATGATGGCCATTATCTACATGTGTTTTCAGCACCTGGTTGGTTCTAAATGGGATCTGGAGACCCAGCTTCTTGGAGATTTTTAAGAGGAAGTATTAACTGGACAAATGGAATGGGCACCAGAAAGAAATACAGGGTCACCCAGAATGGCAGAAACCTAGGTTTCCCAGAGTGGAAAGAGAGAGGAGACATTCAACAAACAAGTATTTATTGAGCGCCTACTATGTGCCAGGCACTGTTCTAGACCCCCCCCAGAAGAAAAAACAAAAAACAAGATAGAGGCAGCAAACACAAATTCTGAGGGAGAGGAAAGGGGCAGTTGAGTAAGACGGCTAAG
Source organism: Homo sapiens (assembly GCF_000001405.40). Classification (NCBI taxonomy): domain Eukaryota; kingdom Metazoa; phylum Chordata; class Mammalia; order Primates; family Hominidae; genus Homo; species Homo sapiens. The sequence goes on along the minus strand of NT_167245.2, from coordinate 1,980,282 downwards.
GGAACTGAGAAGCCTGAGGTGATGGGGGCTCTGCCTTAGGCCTCCTCTTCGGCCTCCTCACCGAAATCCTCCTCCTCTTCTGCGGTGGCATCCTGGTACTGCTGATACTCAGAGACGAGGTCGTTCATGTTGCTCTCAGCCTCGGTGAACTCCATCTCGTCCATGCCCTCGCCTGTGTACCAGTGGAGGAAGGCCTTCCGGCGGAACATGGCAGTGAACTGCTCCGAGATGCGCTTGAAGAGCTCCTGGATGGCTGTGCTATTGCCAATGAAGGTGACTGCCATCTTGAGGCCACGAGGTGGGATGTCACAGACGGCTGTCTTGACATTGTTGGGGATCCATTCCACAAAGTAGCTGCTGTTCTTGTTCTGCACGTTAAGCATCTGCTCATCGACCTCCTTCATGGACATCCGACCACGGAAGACAGCAGCCACGGTGAGGTATCGGCCGTGGCGGGGGTCACAGGCAGCCATCATGTTCTTGGCATCGAAGACCTGCTGGGTGAGTTCCGGCACTGTGAGAGCTCGATACTGCTGGCTTCCACGGCTGGTGAGAGGGGCAAAGCCAGGCATAAAGAAATGGAGACGTGGGAAGGGGACCATGTTGACTGCCAACTTGCGGAGGTCAGCATTGAGCTGGCCAGGGAAACGGAGGCAGGTGGTGACACCACTCATGGTGGCTGAGACAAGGTGGTTCAGATCCCCGTAGGTTGGTGTGGTCAGCTTCAGAGTGCGGAAGCAGATATCATAGAGGGCCTCGTTGTCAATGCAATAGGTCTCATCAGTATTCTCTACCAACTGATGGACGGAGAGGGTGGCATTGTAGGGCTCGACCACGGTGTCAGACACTTTGGGTGAAGGCACCACACTGAAGGTATTCATGATGCGATCAGGGTATTCTTCTCGGATCTTGCTGATAAGGAGAGTGCCCATTCCAGAGCCTGTGCCCCCGCCCAGTGAGTGGGTCAGCTGGAAGCCCTGCAGGCAGTCACAGCTCTCTGCCTCCTTCCGTACCACATCCAGGACAGAATCAACCAGCTCGGCGCCCTCTGTGTAGTGGCCTTTGGCCCAGTTGTTACCTGCCCCAGACTGACCTGGAATGCAGTCAGGAGAAAAGCTCAATTAACAGGGTATGGAAGATACATGATGTTTCCATCTTTCAACTTTTCAAATAATTCCCTCGGATGTATCTTCTTTCTCCTTCACTGTGATATATTCTCCCCCTACTGCCCCATAATTTACCAGCAATAGTAGGCACTACCTCTACCCTCCGTTAGATTTCAGAACACATTTCTGTATTAGCACTCCAATACAACAATCATCTCCTAACTTTTGCTGTGTCCTTGCACCCAAATAAGTTGAACACGATGGTATATCATCTGCTAATATCATCTGTATAACTCACCAAATACAAAGTTGTCTGGTCTAAAGATCTGGCCAAAAGGACCTGAGCGAACAGAGTCCATGGTCCCAGGTTCTAGATCCACCAGGATGGCACGAGGAACATATTTGCCACCTACAGAGAATAAAGTTAAGAGCTGTGAAATCTGGCAGAAGGGAAGGTTTATAGATATACTGGAAATGGGAGACAGCAGGGATCAGAGACTTGTCATTCCAGGTCCCGCCACCAGGTGGCAGCAGACGTCTTTGGCCCCGACGGTGGTTCACGAAAGGGACAAAATGACAGATTCACCCAAAGGGGATAAGGCGTGCCCAGAAATGGAAAGAGATCCCAGATAAGTGGGAGACAGGGAAGGGAACCTGAGCTGCCCGGGCTCCTGCCCTTACCTGTGGCTTCATTGTAGTACACAGAGATGCGGTCCAGCTGCAGGTCGCTGTCCCCGTGGTAGGTGCCGGTGGGGTCGATGCCATGTTCATCACTGATCACCTCCCAGAACTGCCGAGGGGGAGCAACGAGACCACAACAGGTCAAGTCCCAGCCAACTATGTCCCCAACTACCATTTTATTTCATCTTTTTCTTAATTTTTTTTGAGACGGAGTCTCGCTCTGTCACCAGGCTGGAGTGCAGTGGCGCTATCTCGGCTCACTGCAACCTCTGCTTCCCGGGTTCAAGCGATTCTCCTGCCTCAGCCCCCGGAGTAGCTGGGACTATAGGCGCGCACCAACACGCCCAGCTACTTTTTGTATTTTTAGTAGAGACGGGTTTCACCATGTTGGCCAGGATGGTCTAGATCTCTTGACCTCGTGATCCGCCCACCTTGGCCTCCCAAAGTGCTGGGATTACAAGGGTGAGCCACCGCGCCCAGCTTCTTCTAATTTTTAAGACAGGGTCTTCCTGTTGCCCAGCCTGCAGTGCAGTGGTGCAATCACGGATGACTACAGCGTGGAACTCCCAGGCTCAACCGATCCTCCCATCTCAGCCTCTCGAGTAGCTGGGACCACAGACGCGCGCCACCACGCCCAGCTAATTTTTTACTTTTATTTTTTGTAGAAACGTGGCATGGGGGAGGGTCTCGCTTTGTTGCCCAGGATGGTCTCGAACCCCTGACCTGGAGGGATCCCAATTCGCCCACCTCGGCCCCACATCTCCCATTTTAATTCCACAAGCGCTCAGGCCGTTGTTCTAGGGCATGGCATCCCGTGGGCCTGCCACACCCTTCCCCTAGACACTCGCTCCCCCGAGAAAGCCACAGCTTTCCCTGCTCTGGATATGTGCAGCGGGTCCCAAGTGCTCGGTGGGCGGATGGAGGTCGACCACACTTCGATAAGCGCCGCTCTCCTTCCCCCAAGCTGGGCACCGCCCCACCGCGCGGCGCACAAAAGGCTGGGGGTCTGAGGAAAGAGCTGCCGCCGCAGTCGACCACCCCCCCCGCCCTCCACGTGACTGCGGCGCACGCGCAGGTCGAGCCGCCGACAAAAGACTTCGCGCGTGGGCGGGGCCAGGGACAAAAATTCCGCGCGCGAGGGGCGGGGCCCAAGGTAGCGCGCCCCTGCCGGCGGGCAACGCCGCATTGTCCCCGCGCGCCCACGGCGCCCCGGCCCCGCCCCGCAGGGCCCCGCCCTTCTGCTACAACGTAGCAGCCGCACTTCCTCCCGCCCCTCCCCCGCTACACTGTAACCGCGCGCAAAAAAAAAAAATCCCCCTTGGCCTCGGAATTTTTATTCCTTCGCTACATTTCTACCCCTTGATTTAAAGGATTCTTTCTCTCCCATTAAGTCCTGAGGGACTCATTAAAGAAAACCACACACCCCCATTTTCTCGACATATCTGTTCACGCCCTAAAAAAGTCTCTCTTAGGGGCCATGAAAGCAAGTAAAATTAATCCCGTTCTTATTCTCCTTCCACCCAGGAACAAATACAGGACCGGCCCTCTGGGGTCGCGGGCGCGTTGGGGTCCCTGGTCTTTTGTGAAAGGTAGCGCCCAGCGCAGCCCACCCTGGCGCATCGCCCCCCACCCTTGCGCTGGAGCTCTCTGCAGCCGCCCGATGGCCTCACCCCTTCCCGCTCCGGTTTGGCCCTAAGTACCCCGCAGGGGGGTTGGGCGGGATGCACATGGGCAAAACCTCGCCCCGCTTTGTCTGCGACCGTTTCCGCATCTCTCTCCCTGCCCGGTTCTCGGACCGTTAGAAGCCCTTTTAAGTAACATCTTATAAGTCCTCGGTCTTCCCGCCCCCAAACCCGAAGAGCCCTTTTACTAGTTTCTCCAAAATGTGCCTGCCAAGAAAAATGATTCCCAGCTTTCCAAAGGCAAATGCTAGCTACAATTGTTATATATATAAATGTAACAAACTTGAGAGGGGCAAATCTTGATTAAGGATAGCGGGTGCAAATGCCCCACAACCATTTTTTCATAACTTACCTGGATTTTTCCTTGTAAAAAGAAATAAAAGAGGTGTAAAATTCTTACCTTGGCACCGATCTGGTTGCCACACTGACCAGCCTGGATGTGCACGATTTCCCTCATGGTTAAAATTTAATTTTTTTGCTCGCCTCAAGGTATGTATGGGGCAAGAAAATAAGTAATTTTTTTTCTCCGCAGGTCGCAGGCTGGAAGGTTGGAATGCGCCCCAGAGGCTGGAGCAGCGAGGTGCAAACGCGACGGCAGGAAGGTTCTGAGAGGGAGAAAGGAGAGGGGAGGGCGCGGAGGGAAAGCAGGCTGGGCGGGGCGCGCGTGCGCCGGGGCTGGGAGGCGGGAGAATCGGCCCCGCGCGCGGTAGGGAGACAAAGCCTCATCGAGCCTGGCCCTGATTAGTCGATGCCGGTCATGTACCAGGCGTCCATTGGCCTCTGAGCCAGTGGACGAGCGCAGTCCTCTTTGGGAGTTGTAGTCCCCTATTGTTGTCCATGCTGCAAAATGAAGTGACGAATGGGTGGGTACCGGTTTGGTTTTCATGGGGTTTTTGTTTTGTAAATGAAAAACGACCTTGCGCAAGATTCCTTTCCTCTATGCCTGAGGTTTTTGTACAAAAAGTGAGCAGTTCTTGGGGGTACAGGAATTGAGAAGTCTGGGGTTCCAGAAGTTGGGTGGTGGGGAAGACACGCCCTGAAAGCTCCCAGCTGCAGTACCTCTAGGGGAGAAAGGATTGCTTAGTTCAGCGAAAAATGGGGAGAAGTCTGGCACCGTGCTCTGCCTCCCCTGGCCTTTGGTGACCCAAGGCATGAACTTCAGTAAGCTTCTGCTCCCTCAAATACTTCAAGAAGGGAATCGCCCTCTTGCTATTTCCTTGGAAATTTTCGAGCCATTGTTTTGAAAGAGAAACAAAATTGCAGCAAGGGCTTTTCAGGATAGCGATGTTGTCTGGAGAGTATGTTCAAAGAATAAAATAGTTTAGAGAAACCGACATCGGGGATTTGTGAAACTAGAAGTCTCCTACGTGGGTAGGAGATCTGGACCTTAGGGCAGACTTTGAAGACACCTTGGTCTTCTTGTCAAACAGGGAACTATGGAATGAGATGCCTGATAGATTTTCAGTTTTTTCAGCCTGCCTCTTTAGACATGTTAATGAAGTCAGTGGTTTTTCAATTCGCTGATTTCACTGACCAGGTGGCCGCCACTGCAACTCTGCAAGAGACCCAGTATTGAAAAACGAGAGAGGGGTAATTGATGGGGGAAAAATTGAGTGGGTTCAAGACGGAGTCCATCTGCTTCTTCCCATAGATTTATTATTCACTTATTTGATAGTTACTATGTATCCACCAAATTAGGAGCTATGGTTACAAAATGATTAAGAATTAGCTCCCTGTCCTCCAGGATGTTGCAGTCTGGTGAGAAGCATACAATCAATAAAATGTGGTAACCACTCAGAAATGTAGTATCAAGTCAACGTCATTGTTAATTCACATTCGATCACACAGATCAATGTATTTCTTTTTTTTTTTTTGTATTTTTAGTAGAGACAGGGTTTCACTGTGTTAGCCAGGATGGTCTCGATATCCTCACCTCGTGATTCGCCCGCCTTTGCCTCCCAAAGTGCTGGGATTACAGGCGTGAGCCACCGCGCTGGGCAGATCAATGTATTTCTAAGTTGCCTTCTAAATGAGGGAACATCAACTTGTGTAAGCCCTCTCTACCCACTTAAAATATAATGCTTTACGTTTTAGGGAAATGAACACAGTCATTTTGTGGGAGTAGAAATAACTCAAAATACACAATCAGATAACTTGTTTCAATTTGTCTCTATATTAGCTGTAGGATCCTAGGAAAGTCCTTTAACTTTGCAGGGCTCCAGCTCCTCGTTTGTAAAATCTGCTTATTTGACTGTTGTGCACAGAATTGAGATAACCAACAGAAAGGACTTTATGAATTATGCAAGTGTTATAGTTACCATTTTCTTCATGTCTTATTGTGAGATAAAATAGGCCGGGCGCAGTGGCTTACGCCTGTAATCCCAGCACATTGGGAGGCCCAGGCGGGAGAATCACCTGAGGTCCGGAGTTTGAGACCAGACTGACCAACATGGAGAAACCCCGTCTCTACTAAAAATACAAAATTAGCCGGGCGTGGTAGCGCATGCCTGTAATCCCAGCTACTCGGGAGGCTGAGACAGGAGAATTGCTTGAACCCAGAAGGCGGAGGTTGCGGTGAGTCGAGATCGCGCCATTGCACTCCAGCCTAGGCAACAAGAGCGAAAGTCCGTCTCAAAAAATAAAATATAGATGGCCGCATGCGGTGGTTTACGCCTGTAATCCCACCACTTTGAGAGGCCGAGGCGGGCGGATCACCTGAGGTCAGAAGTTCGAGACCAGCCTGACCAACATGGAGAAACCACGTCTCTACTAAAAATACAAAAATAAGCTGGGCGTGGTGGCGCATGCCTGTAATCCCAGCTACTTGGGAGGTTGAGGCAGGAGAATCGCTTGAACCTGGGAGGCAGAGGTTGCGGTGAGTCGAGATCGCGCCATTGCACTCCAGCCTGGGCAACAAGAGCAAAACTCCATCTCAAAAAATAGATAAATTAGTTAATTAAAAAATAAAAATAAATGATTTTATGATCCTTCCCTCGCCCCTCGAAAGGTGGGGACAGCCTTTAAGACAGAGAGCAAACCAGTTTTCTCTGTTCGACTACAGATCTTTAGGATCTTGGATTTAAGAAAATGACCTCAAAATGTCCGTCAGAGACGTATTCCCAGGAAGAAAGATATTACTTCTACTACAAACCAAATCAAAAGGAAATGAAATTCCAATGCAACAGGAGTGAACTGCCACGCCTACGGGCTGTTCTCCAAACTGCAGCCTCCAGCCACGACTGCAACGCGCAACCCACTTTCATTTCTCATGAGTCAGCGGACACCATGTCTAGGAGGACCGAGGAAAGGCGCTCTGGCCTTACCAGACACGTCGGACGTCTATGACACAGCCCCTCTATCCGTTGCCGGCAGCTGGCGCCAGACTCTCTGGTCGCGGTTTGGAACTGCGCGGGAAGTGGGTGGTGGGCGGGCAAGCGGTAGTGGGTTGTCCCTTGGAGCTGCCCAATCGACGTGCATTATTCTGTTGGCGCACGGCGGCCTTCAATTACCGTCTCATTAACTGATCTCAGCAGCCTGGGAGACACCACCTATTTGAACTCTAAGGGGGCGGGGCTTTGGGTGTGCCTCCGCTCGACTGGCTGCGGTTGTGAAAGACAGCGGCAGAAGCCAATCAGCAAATAAGCTCTTTTTCGGCACACGCAGTCGCTCCACCCGGGTCGCGACCGTTACTGGTGGCGCGCGCGGGGACTTAAAGTAGGTGAGTTCTAGGGGCCTGGCCCACGGCTCCCCGGGAGCCATCTTGGTTCCCCCAGAAGGCGGGAGGGGCGTACCTTGGGTGCGACTGGGCGGAGGTGACTTGGAAGTTCGCTTCTCGGACTGTAATACTCATCCTTACCTGGCGCCCCGCTCCGAGTTTAGGTATGAAGACACAGGGAGACGTCGGGCCACAAGGGAACCCACTGAGGTGGGGACCAAAGATGGTGGCTCTTTGAATTGGAGCCAAGCGTGGTGGGCACCCGCTGAGTTGGCCTGTCATAAAGACGGAGTTGACACTTTATCCATGGGGCATCCTACTTTCCCTACCTGTCAACAGTTTCCCTCTAGAGTGGCATATTTTCAGGTGAATTCCATTTATGCTATTTTCTTTCCATCTCATTTGTTCCTTCATCAGTAGGCTCGGTGATGAGCCTTCCCGAGGGCAGGGTCGATTTCATGTTTGGTTCACAGATGTATACCAAATACTTCAAACAGGTATACCATAACCATTGAATGAATATGATGGACCCTAGGGGAAAGACACGGTTCCCCTAATCCAGTCCTGGAGGTGGGTGAGTGTGAAGGCAGAAATGGAAAGTAATGGTTACAATATAGCGAGAGATCTTAGAGTAAGCACAAATCCATTGACCACTGTGGAACAGGCAGGATACACCAGGAACACGAGAAGGCAGGGAACACGCCAGGAAAGGGTTTGCTGAGAAAGTGACATTTGAGGCCGGGCGCGGTTGCTCACTGCTGTAATCCCAACACTTTGGGTGGCCAAGGTGGGCGGATCACCTGAGGTCAGGAGCTCGAGACCGTGGTGAAACCCCGTCTCTACTAAAAATACAAAAATTAGCCAGGCGTGATGCCGGGCGCCTGTAATCCCAGCTGCTCGGGAGGCTGAGGCAGGAGAATCGCTTGAAGCCTGGAGGCAGAGGTTGCAGTGAGCCAAGATAGCACCACTGCAGTCCAGCCTGGACGACAGAGCGAGATTCCATCTCAAAAAAAAAAAAAAGAAAGAAAGTGACATTTGAACTGAATCTTAAAGGATGGTAGAAGTTGGACCAGAAAACTAGGTGGGAAAAAGCCAAGGAATTGGGCTAAGGCATGAAGATGTGGGAAGACAAGAACAGTGTGTTCGAAGACTGGGGAAAATGTCTGGCTGAACCATAGGCTTTTGCGGGCGAGGGGTAGGCGTTACAAGATGTGAAGTTCAGATCATGGAGGGTCTCGCTAAGGAGTTTAGATTTTATTCTGTGTGCACGAAAAACCATCAAGATTTTAGAGGAGAGACATCTGAGTGATTTGGGGCAAGTCTTAACCTTATATATGCTTATGTATGTTTCAAGGAGATCTGAAAATCTTAACCCAGCTATGTTGCAGTTTCTTTATCTGAAGAAATGGAAGATAGTAATACTACTTTACAAGGTTCTTGTGAAGATTAAATGAGTCAGAGTCGATATAAAGTAATTAGAACAGTGCTTGACACATAGGAAGCTTCTATATATGTCATCTTTTATTATCATTTTTTGCAGTTGCATCTGATCAAACTGAGGTGGTCTGGTAAAAGTATAAAAAGCATGGGCTAAAAAAGAAAGAAAAACAACGGGGCGCAGTGGCTCACGCCTGTAATCCCAGCACTTTGGGAGGCCAAGGTGGGCGGATCACCCAAGGTCAAGAGTTCGAGTCCACCCTGGCCAATATGGCAAAACCCCATCTCTTCTAAAAATACAAAAATTAGCCAGGCATGGTGGCAGGTGCCTGTAATCTCAGCTACTTGGGAGGCTGAGGTGAGAGAATTGCTTGAAACCCGGGAGGCAGAGGTTGCCGTGGGCCCAAGATCTTACCACTGCATGCCAGCCTGGGGAGCAGAACGAGACTCCATCACAAAAAAGAAAAAAATGTTTTAAGTGCTTCAGAAGGTTAACAACAGAAAGATTGGTGGAAAGAGAAGCATCAACGTTCATAATGATCCAGTTTACCCCCTAGTTTTCAGTCTGATAACTCTGATGCTGTTTGTGTGAACCAATAATGAGGATAATTGATAATGTGTATCCTTCCCAGATCATGGAGGACACCCAGGCTATTGACTGGGATGTTGAAGAAGAGGAGGAGACAGAGCAATCCAGTGAATCCTTGAGGTGTAACGTGGAGCCAGTAGGGCGGCTACATATCTTTAGTGGTGCCCATGGACCAGAAAAAGGTCAGAGGGTATTGGATGTTCAAGTATTGATATAGATCTTTTATTTTTGTGGTAAGGTATTTGGAGGGTTGCAAGAAGCTTATGTATGTTTCAATGAGATGTGAATTTTTTTTTTTCATGAATGGAAGAGATGGGGCCGATTGAGTTGATAGTTGCAGACTACTACCCTGGACTCACTGGAAGTGATTTTACTTTGATAAAAGAAAATTAAGAGATTGAAATGAAGCTGGGTGCAGTGACTCACACCTGTAATTCCCGTGCTTTGAGAGGCCAAGGCAGAAGGATCACTTGAGACTAGGAGTTAGAGACCAGCCTGGGTAGCATAGCAAAACCCTGTCTCTACGAAAAATTTAAAAATTAGCCAGGTGTGGTGGTTCATTTCACATCTGCAGTCCCACCTACTTGGGAGGCTGAGCCAGATGATCACTTGAACCCAAGAGTTCAAGATTGCACTGATCTATGATCATGACACTGCATTCTAGCCTGGGTGACAGAATGAGACCCTGTCTCAAAAAAAAAAAAAAAATCAAATAAAATCCAATTGTGTGCTCTGGAGATGGATGGTAGTGATGATTGCACAACAGTGTGAATGCACTTAATGCCACTGAACTATACACTTAAAATTATTAAGGTGATACATTTTGTGTTATGTGTATTTTATAACAGTAAAAAAACATCCATTGTGGATGGATGGGGTATCGCATATACTCTTTCAGTGCCTAGATGTCCTAGGGCCTTTTATTTTTCTAATGCATATGGAGGCCTTGAGTGAGTAGTAGAGTACCTAATAGGCACTTTTTCCTAATGACAGGCCAGGACTCTGATCTTGGAGCTTATCTACCTCTCTAATTCTTAGATTTCCCACTACACCTCGGGAAGAATGTGGTAGGCCGAATGCCTGACTGCTCTGTGGCCCTGCCCTTTCCATCTATCTCCAAACAACATGCAGAGATTGAAATCTTAGCCTGGGACAAGGCACCTATCCTCCGAGACTGTGGGAGCCTTAATGGTACTCAAATCCTGAGACCTCCTAAGGTTTTGAGCCCTGGGGTGAGTCACCGTCTGAGGGACCAGGAATTGATTCTCTTTGCTGACTTGCTCTGCCAGTACCATCGCCTGGATGTCTCTCTGCCCTTTGTCTCCCGGGGCCCTCTGACAGTAGAAGAGACACCCAGAGTACAGGGAGAAACTCAACCCCAGAGGCTTCTGTTGGCTGAGGACTCGGAGGAGGAAGTAGGTAAGTTTGTATATTGGCAGGGAGAATGAGGAGACAGGAATAATGAGTGTACAATTGTCAACTCATTCCTTTCTGTTCTTGACAGATTTTCTTTCTGAAAGGCGTATGGTAAAAAAATCAAGGACCACATCTTCCTCTGTGATAGTTCCAGAGAGGTGAGTGCCAAAGAGTCAGACACCTGAGTCTTCAAAATGAGGAAGAACCAGGGGCTGGAGGATCAATCTCTAAAAGAGATGATTATCATGAGAGTTGGGGCTGGGGAACCATACATATTCATTCACTCAGCTGAATTTTTATGGAGCACATCTGATGTGCCAAGTGGAAAACAAATTGGAAACAGAAGAAGAAATATGCTACCTTGTGTCTCCCCTCAAGGAGCTCACAGTTGAGTTGGGGTATCCCTTCCAGGGAAATAAATTCTATAGACTCTCTTTTCTTCCCTTCACAGTGATGAAGAGGGGCATTCCCCGGTCCTGGGCGGCCTTGGGCCGCCTTTTGCCTTCAATTTGAACAGTGACACAGATGTGGAAGAAGGTCAGCAACCAGCCACAGAGGAGGCCTCCTCAGCTGCCAGAAGAGGTGCCACTGTAGAGGCAAAGCAGTCTGAAGCTGAAGTTGTAACTGAAATCCAGCTTGAAAAGGATCAGCCTTTAGTGAAGGAGAGGGACAATGATACAAAAGTCAAGAGGGGTGCAGGGAATGGGGTGGTTCCAGCTGGGGTGATTCTGGAGAGGAGCCAACCTCCTGGAGAGGACAGTGACACAGATGTGGATGATGACAGCAGGCCTCCTGGAAGGCCAGCTGAGGTCCATTTGGAAAGGGCTCAGCCTTTTGGCTTCATCGACAGCGACACTGATGCGGAAGAAGAGAGGATCCCAGCAACCCCAGTTGTCATTCCTATGAAGAAGAGGAAGATCTTCCATGGAGTAGGTACAAGGGGTCCTGGAGCACCAGGCCTGGCCCATCTGCAGGAGAGCCAGGCTGGTAGTGATACAGATGTGGAAGAAGGCAAGGCCCCACAGGCTGTCCCTCTGGAGAAAAGCCAAGCTTCCATGGTTATCAACAGCGATACAGATGACGAGGAAGAAGTCTCAGCAGCGCTGACTTTGGCACATCTGAAAGAGAGCCAGCCTGCTATATGGAACAGAGATGCAGAAGAGGACATGCCCCAACGTGTGGTCCTTCTGCAGCGAAGCCAAACCACCACTGAGAGAGACAGTGACACAGACGTGGAGGAGGAAGAGCTCCCAGTGGAAAATAGAGAAGCTGTCCTCAAGGATCACACAAAGATTAGAGCCCTTGTTAGAGCACATTCAGAAAAGGACCAACCTCCTTTTGGGGACAGTGATGACAGTGTGGAAGCAGATAAGAGCTCACCTGGGATCCACCTGGAGAGAAGCCAAGCCTCCACCACAGTGGACATCAACACACAAGTGGAGAAGGAAGTCCCGCCAGGGTCAGCCATTATACATATAAAGAAGCATCAGGTGTCTGTGGAGGGGACAAATCAAACAGATGTGAAAGCAGTTGGGGGACCAGCAAAGCTGCTTGTGGTATCTCTAGAGGAAGCCTGGCCTCTGCATGGGGACTGTGAAACAGATGCAGAGGAGGGCACCTCCCTAACAGCCTCAGTAGTTGCAGATGTAAGAAAGAGCCAGCTTCCAGCAGAAGGGGATGCTGGGGCAGAGTGGGCTGCAGCTGTTCTTAAGCAGGAGAGAGCTCATGAGGTGGGGGCCCAGGGTGGGCCACCTGTGGCACAAGTGGAGCAGGACCTCCCTATCTCAAGAGAGAACCTCACAGATCTGGTGGTGGACACAGACACTCTAGGGGAATCCACCCAGCCACAGAGAGAGGGAGCCCAGGTCCCCACAGGAAGGGAGAGAGAACAACATGTGGGTGGGACCAAGGACTCTGAAGACAACTATGGTGGTAAGTGCTGGCCTTCCTTCCTTGACCTCTGAAATCAACCAGGGTTCTAACAGCTGGGGTTGGGGAGAGAAAGGTAGAGATTATTTAAGGAGTTTAGTGTCAGGTATGATTTTTGTTTTAAACTGTCTTATATTCCTCCCCGACCAGATTCTGAAGATCTGGACCTACAAGCTACCCAGTGCTTTCTGGAGAATCAGGGCCTGGAAGGTGAGGACTTCTGTGTTATTTGAATCCTGTACCAGTGGGAGCTGGGAGATTAGACTGGTGGTCCTTGAAGGGTAAAGGCTAGTATGGGTAGGGTAGGAGACCAGGAATGGAACCCTACAGTAGTATGGAGGAGATGAACTTAGGCCATCTTTTCCTGTACAGCAGTCCAGAGCATGGAGGATGAACCTACCCAGGCCTTCATGTTGACTCCACCCCAAGAGCTTGGCCCTTCCCATTGCAGCTTCCAGACAACAGGTATAAGAAACTCTTCCCTCCTCTGTGTCCCCAATTCTGCATTCTCTTTTTTTTCCTCTGTCACTCAGGCTGGATTACAGTGGTGCAGTCTCGGCTCACTGTAACCTCCGCCTCCCAGGCGGTTTCTCTTCCTTCAGCTTCCCAGGTAGCTGGGATTACAGCTGTCCATGACCATGCCTGGCTAATTTTTTGTATGTTTAGTAGAGACAGGGTTTCACCATGTTGGCCAGGCTGGTCACAAACTCCCGACCTCAAGTGATCCGCCTGCCTCGGCCTCCCAAAATGCTGGAATTGCAGGCGTAAGCCACTGCGCCCGGCCTGCGTTCTTTCTTGATTTGCCTTCCTACATGTTTCTTTCATACTCTGATTACAGTGAGCCCTCTGTGTATGCGAGTTTGCGTCCGTGAATTCAACCAGCTGCAGGTTGAAAATATTTAGGGACTGGCCTGGGCAACAGAGAGAGACCTGGTCTCCACAAAAATGAAAAAATTAGCCCAGCATAGTAGTGAGCACCTGTAGTCCCAGTTACATGGGAGGCCAGGATGGGAAGATCAGTTGAGCCCAGTCTGGGCAATAGCCCATCCCTCAACCCCCACCCCCAATGTCTCTTAAAAAAAACACACACACACTATTGCAGCACTGTTCACAATAGGCAGATATGAAATCAAACTAAATGTCCATCAACAGATGAATGGATAAAGAAAATGTAGGCCGGGGTCGGGCACAGTGGCTCACACCTCTAATCCCAACACTTTGGGAGGCCAAGGCAGGCAGATCACCTGAGATCGGGAGCTTGAGACCAGCCTGACCAACATGGAGAAACCCCGTCTCTACTAAAAATACAAAATTAGCCGGGTGTGGTGGTGCATGCCTGTAATCCCAGCTACTCAGGAGACTGAGTCAGGAGAATCCCTTGAACCCAGGAGGCAGAGGTTGCAGTGAGCTGAGATTGTGCCATCGCACTCTGGCCTGGGCAACAAGAGTGAAACTCTGTCTCAAAAAAACGAAAGAAAAGAAAATGTAGGCCGGGCACAGTGCCTCATGCCTGTAATCCCAGCACTTTGGGAAGCCGAAGTGGGTGGATCACATGAGGTCAGGAGTTTGAGACCAGCCTGGCCAACATGGTGAAACCCTGTCTCTACTAAAAATACAAAAATTAGCTGGGCATGGTGGCAGGTGCCTGTAGTCCCAGCTACTCGGGAGACTGAAGCAGGAGACTCATTTGAACCCCGGAGGCAGAGGTTGCAGTGAGCCAAGGTCACACCACTGCACTCCAACATGGGCAACAGAGTGAGACTTCATCTCTAATAATAAAAAAAAAGAAAATGTGTATATAGGCTGGGTGCAGTGGCTCAAAATACAAAATTTAGCTGGGCATGGTGGCATGCACCTGTAGTCTTAGCTACTCGGGAGGCTAAGATGGGAGGATTGCTGCCTAAGACGCAGAGGTTGCAGTGAGCTGAGGTCATGCCACTGCACTCCAAACTGGGTGACAGAGCAAGACTCAATCTAAAAAAAAAAGAAAATGTGTATATATACACAGTGGAACAGTATTCAGCAACAGAAGAGAATGAAATCCTGTCATCTGCAGCAACATGGATGAACCCTGAGGACATTATGTTAAGTGAAATAAGTCAGCACAGAAAGGCAAATATTGTATGCTCACTCATGTGGGAGCTAAAAACATGGATCTCATGGAAGTAGAGAGTAGAATGGTGGTTACCAAAGGCTAGGAAGGGTAGAGGGACAGAATGCATAAAGAGGTTGGTTAATGAATACAAAAATCCAGTCAGATTGAATGAATAAGTTCTAGTGTTCAGTTCCACAGTAGTGTTACTATAGTTAATAATTTATTGTGTATTTCAAAATAGCTAGAAGAGATTTGATATGTTTCCAAGACAAAGAAATGATAAATGTTTGAGATAGTGGATATCCCAATTATCTTGGTTTTATCATTGTACATTGTATGCATGAGTCAAAATAGCACAGGTACCCCATAAATATGTACAATTATTATGTGTCAATGAAGAAAAAAGAAAATGTGGTATATATACACAGTGGAATACTATTCAGCCTTTAAAAAGAAGGAAATTCCAGCCAAGCATGGTGGCTCACACCTGTAATCCCAGCACTTTGGGAGACCAATGTGGGTGGATCACTTGAGTCTAAGAGTTCAAGACCAAACCCCATCTCTACAACAAATACAAAAAATTAGCCGGGCACTTTGGCACATGCCGTAGTCCCAGCTACTTGGGAGGCTGAGGTGGGAGGATCTCCTGAGCCCAGCAGTTGGGAGTTGCAGTGAGCCAACATCATGCCACTGCACTCCAGCCTGGGTGACAGAGTGAAACTGTCTTGAGAGAGAGAGACTATTCAGGGAACTCTCTTATTAGGCTATGATGTTTTTCTTTCTTTCTTTCTTTCTTTCTTTTTTTGAGACAGGGTCTCTGTCACTCAGGCTGGAATGCAGTGGTATGATGAGAGACTATTCAGGGAACTCATATTAGGCTATGATGTTTTTCTTTTTCTCTTGGGTTTTTTTTTTTTTTTTTTTTTGAGACAGAGTCTCTGTCACTCAGGCTGAAGTGCAGTGGTATGATCACAGCTCACTACAGTCTTGACCTTTGGGGTTCAAGTAGTTCTCCTACCTCAGCCTCCCGGGTAGCTGAGACTACAGGACTACAGGTCCCCGTCCCCACACCTAATTTTTTTGTATTTTTTGTAGAGATGGGGTTTTGCCATGTTGTCCAGGCTAGTCTCAAACTCCTGGCCTCAAGCAATCCTCATGTCTTGGCCTCCCAAAGTCCTGGGATTACATGTCTGAGCCACCATGCCCGCCTAAGGCTATGACCTTTTTGAGACAAACGTTAAATGTTATAACTACCACCCTTATTCCCAGCTTACCTTTAATAACCTGTTCAGATTTATTATTCATGAGTTTATCTAAATCCTTTCTCATCATATTTATTATGTCAACCTGTACTTCCCTTTCCCTCTTCCTCTCCCTCTTTTCTCTCCCTCTCCCTCTCTCTCTCTTCCTTCCTCCCCTTCCAGGTACCCTAGATGAACCATGGGAGGTCCTGGCTACACAGCCATTCTGTCTGAGAGAGTCTGAGGACTCTGAGACCCAGCCTTTTGACACGCACCTTGAGGCCTATGGACCTTGCCTGTCTCCACCTAGGGCAATACCAGGAGACCAACATCCAGAGAGCCCAGTTCACACAGAGCCAATGGGGATTCAAGGCAGAGGGAGGCAGACTGTGGATAAAGTCATGGGTATACCAAAAGAAACAGCAGAGAGGGTGGGCCCTGAGAGAGGGCCATTGGAGAGAGAAACTGAGAAACTGCTACCAGAAAGACAGACAGATGTGACAGGAGAGGAAGAATTAACCAAGGGGAAACAGGACAGAGAACAAAAACAGTTGTTAGCTAGAGACACCCAGAGACAAGAATCTGACAAAAATGGGGAAAGTGCAAGTCCTGAAAGAGATAGGGAGAGTTTGAAGGTAGAAATTGAGACATCTGAGGAAATACAAGAGAAACAAGTACAGAAGCAGACCCTTCCAAGCAAAGCATTTGAGAGAGAAGTAGAGAGACCAGTAGCAAACAGAGAGTGCGATCCAGCCGAGTTAGAAGAGAAGGTGCCCAAAGTGATCCTGGAGAGAGATACACAGAGAGGGGAGCCAGAGGGAGGGAGCCAGGACCAGAAAGGGCAGGCCTCCAGCCCAACACCAGAGCCTGGGGTGGGGGCGGGGGACCTTCCGGGACCTACCTCAGCCCCCGTACCTTCTGGGAGCCAGTCAGGTGGAAGGGGATCCCCAGTGAGCCCCAGGAGGCATCAGAAAGGTAAGTGAAGGCAGAGGGGAACCCAAGGTGATACACAGGCCTCGTGATAATCAACCCCTGGGCAACCAGCTGCTTGGAACTCAGCCACCTTTGTGTTTACTTTCTGTCTAGGCCTCCTGAATTGCAAGATGCCACCTGCTGAGAAGGCTTCCAGGATCAGAGCTGCTGAGAAGGTTTCCAGGGTGAGAGCTACTTTTTCTACCTCCTATTCCACAAGTCATCTCTATATCTTCTCCAATGCTCTTTCACCTAGCCTCACTTTAATCTATTCCTTTCTCATTATTCAGTTTTCTTCCATTTTTGTCACGCCTTGATTGGCTTCTATTCCTTTATCCTCGGCACCCGTTGTTTTCCATATCTGTTTCCTAAGTTGTATCTCCTACCTGACTCAAAAGAAAGACCCTTCGTGTTTCTTCTTTCTTTGCCCCAGCCATCCTTTTCCTTACCATCATCCACGTGTGGAGAACACTATAGTAGCATTATGGAGACAGGTCTGTGGGAAAAAGGTAGCTTCCCAGGTAGATCCCAGTCTAATGGAGGAGAGATCATAGACAGAAAGGAAAATCCAGTGAGCATATTTTTTGTTTTTGTTCTTTTTTGAGACAGAGTCTGTCTCTGTCACCCAGGCTGGAGTGTGCAGTGGCGTGATCTCAGCTTACTGTAACCTCCGTCTCTTGGGTTCAAACAATTTTCCTGCCGCAGCCTCCCAAGTAGCTGGGACTACAGGCGCATGTCACCCGGCTAATTTTTGTGTATTTTTTTGTTTTTTTTGAGACAGTCTCACTCTGTCACCCAGGCTGGAGTGCAGTGGCGCGATCTTGGCTCACTGCAACCTCTGCCTCCCGGGTTCAAGCGACTCTCCTCCCTCAGCCTCCCAGGTAGCTGGGACTACTAGGCGCCTGCCAACACACCTAGCTAATTTTTTTTTTTTTTTTTTTTTTTTTAGACAGAGTCTTGCTCTGTCCCCCAGGCTGGAGTGCAGTGGCACCATCTCGGCTCACTGCAAGCTCCGCCTCCCGAGTTCACGCCATTCTCCTGCCTCAGCCTTCCAAGTAGCTGGGACTACAGGCGCCCGCCACCACGCCCGGCTAATTTTTTGTATTTTTTAGTAGAGACGGGGTTTCACCGTGTTAGCCAGGATGGTCTCGGTTTCCTGACCTTGTGATCCACCCGCCTCGGCCTCCCAAAGTGCTGGGATTACAGGCATCAGCCACCATGCCTGGCCTTTTTTTTTGTATTTTTAGTAGAGACGGGGTTTCACTATGTTGGCCAGGCTGGTCTTGAACTCCTGACCTCGTGATCCGCCCGCCTCGGCCTCCCAAAGTGCTGGGATTATAGCCGTGAGCCACCACGCCCGGTGGAAATCTGGTAAGCCTATCTAACCATAAACAAGTATCAAGAACAGTATCCAAGTTCTATCTCTTTTCTCCACCTCCTCCCCCTCACTTGCTTCTGTTTCTCCCTAGGGCGATCAGGAATCTCCAGATGCTTGTCTGCCTCCTACAGTACCTGAAGCCCCAGCCCCACCCCAAAAGCCCCTTAACTCTCAGAGCCAGAAACATCTTGCACCTCCGCCCCTTCTTTCTCCCCTTTTACCTTCTATCAAGCCAACCGTTCGTAAGACCAGGCAAGATGGGAGTCAGGAAGCTCCAGAGGCTCCCTTGTCCTCAGAGCTGGAGCCTTTCCACCCAAAGCCTAAAATTAGAACTCGGAAGTCCTCCAGAATGACACCCTTTCCAGCTACCTCTGCTGCCCCTGAGCCCCACCCTTCCACCTCCACAGCCCAGCCAGTCACTCCCAAGCCCACATCTCAGGCCACTAGGAGCAGGACAAATAGGTCCTCTGTCAAGACCCCTGAACCAGTTGTCCCCACAGCCCCTGAGCTCCAGCCTTCCACCTCCACAGACCAGCCTGTCACCTCTGAGCCCACATCTCAGGTTACTAGGGGAAGAAAAAGTAGATCCTCTGTCAAGACCCCTGAAACAGTTGTGCCCACAGCCCTTGAGCTCCAGCCTTCCACCTCCACCGACCGACCTGTCACCTCTGAACCCACCTCTCAGGCTACTAGGGGAAGAAAAAATAGATCCTCTGTCAAGACCCCTGAACCAGTTGTCCCCACAGCCCCTGAGCTCCAGCCTTCCACCTCCACAGACCAGCCTGTCACTTCTGAGCCCACATATCAGGCTACTAGGGGAAGAAAAAATAGATCCTCTGTCAAGACCCCTGAACCAGTTGTGCCCACAGCCCCTGAGCTCCGGCCTTCCACCTCCACAGACCGACCTGTCACCCCCAAGCCCACATCTCGGACCACTAGGAGCAGGACAAATATGTCCTCTGTCAAGACCCCTGAAACAGTTGTCCCCACAGCCCCTGAGCTCCAGATTTCCACCTCCACAGACCAACCTGTCACCCCTAAGCCCACATCTCGGACCACTAGGAGCAGGACAAATATGTCCTCTGTGAAGAACCCTGAATCAACTGTCCCTATAGCCCCTGAGCTCCCACCTTCCACCTCCACAGAGCAGCCTGTCACCCCTGAGCCCACATCTCGGGCTACTAGGGGAAGAAAAAATAGATCCTCTGGCAAGACCCCTGAAACACTTGTCCCCACAGCCCCTAAGCTCGAGCCTTCCACTTCCACAGACCAACCTGTCACTCCTGAGCCCACATCTCAGGCCACCAGGGGCAGGACAAATAGGTCCTCTGTGAAGACCCCTGAAACAGTTGTCCCCACAGCCCCTGAGCTCCAGCCTTCCACCTCCACAGACCAGCCTGTTACCCCTGAGCCTACGTCTCAGGCTACTAGGGGAAGAACAGATAGATCCTCTGTCAAGACTCCTGAAACAGTTGTCCCCACAGCCCCTGAGCTACAGGCTTCCGCCTCCACAGACCAGCCTGTCACCTCTGAGCCCACATCTCGGACCACTAGGGGAAGAAAAAATCGGTCCTCTGTCAAGACCCCTGAAACAGTTGTGCCCGCAGCCCCTGAGCTCCAGCCTTCCACCTCCACAGACCAACCTGTCACCCCTGAGCCCACATCTCGGGCCACTAGGGGCAGGACAAATAGGTCCTCTGTCAAGACCCCTGAATCAATTGTCCCTATAGCCCCTGAGCTTCAGCCTTCCACCTCCAGAAACCAGCTTGTCACCCCTGAGCCCACATCTCGGGCCACTAGGTGCAGGACAAATAGGTCCTCTGTCAAGACCCCTGAGCCAGTTGTCCCCACAGCCCCTGAGCCCCATCCTACCACCTCCACAGACCAGCCTGTCACCCCCAAGCTCACATCTAGGGCCACTAGGAGAAAGACAAATAGGTCCTCTGTCAAGACTCCCAAACCAGTTGAACCAGCAGCGTCTGATCTTGAGCCTTTTACCCCCACAGACCAGTCCGTCACCCCTGAGGCCATAGCTCAGGGTGGTCAGAGCAAAACACTGAGGTCTTCCACAGTAAGAGCTATGCCGGTTCCTACCACCCCTGAATTCCAATCTCCTGTCACCACAGACCAGCCTATTTCCCCTGAGCCTATTACTCAACCCAGTTGCATCAAGAGGCAGAGAGCCGCTGGGAACCCTGGCTCCCTCGCAGCTCCCATTGACCATAAGCCTTGCTCTGCACCCTTGGAACCTAAATCCCAGGCCTCAAGGAACCAAAGATGGGGAGCAGTGAGAGCAGCTGAATCCCTTACAGCCATTCCTGAGCCTGCCTCTCCCCAGCTTCTTGAGACACCAATTCATGCCTCCCAGATCCAAAAGGTGGAACCAGCAGGTAGATCTAGGTTCACCCCGGAGCTCCAGCCTAAGGCCTCTCAAAGCCGCAAGAGGTCTTTAGCTACCATGGATTCACCACCACATCAAAAACAGCCCCAAAGAGGGGAAGTCTCCCAGAAGACAGTGATTATCAAGGAAGAGGAAGAAGATACTGCAGAGAAGCCAGGGAAGGAAGAGGTGAGGAGAGGGTTGGGACCACAAAGCTGGGAAAAATGACTTCAGGGCTCTGAAACTCCCACCAAGATTTTTCTCAATCTCAGGATGTCGTGACTCCAAAACCAGGCAAGAGAAAGAGAGACCAGGCAGAGGAGGAGCCCAACAGAATACCAAGCCGCAGCCTCCGACGGACCAAACTTAACCAAGAATCAACAGCCCCCAAAGTAAGAGACAAAGGCATGGGACTTTGTGGGAGACAGAGATGAGGGGAGGATGCAAGGAGACCTAGAGGATTGTAGAGATGGGTGCTGATGGCATGGGTTGCCGTAACCACCTCAGGTCAACCCTTCCACAGGTGCTCTTCACAGGAGTGGTGGATGCTCGGGGAGAGCGGGCTGTGCTGGCACTGGGGGGAAGTCTGGCTGGTTCAGCGGCAGAGGCTTCCCACCTGGTCACTGATCGCATCCGCCGGACAGTCAAGTTCCTGTGTGCCCTGGGGCGGGGAATCCCCATTCTGTCCCTGGACTGGCTGCATCAGGTGAGAGGCCAAGGGATGATGACAGACCGATATAGTGGCAAGACTGCTCATATAGTGCCCTAGAAAGTGGTGGAAGGGAAGAGGCGTTACAGGAAGACAGGGGCATTGGTGAGCCAGAAGCCTGCATTGATTTAAAAGACATTTTGTGAGCTCTCTCTAAATGCTAGGCAGCAGAGCTGATTGAGGGGCTGGGCTGAGCTTTGATGCTGACTGCTGCCGTCCTTAGTCCCGCAAGGCTGGTTTCTTCTTACCCCCGGATGAATATGTGGTGACCGACCCTGAGCAAGAGAAGAACTTTGGCTTTAGCCTTCAAGACGCACTGAGCAGGGCTCGGGAGCGAAGGCTGCTAGAGGTGAGAGGCTATCTTTTAACCTGTGCTTCAGCCCTCCCTCCAGTGCTTCCCAATCTACAATACCATCTCCATCATTTCTTTCTCTTAGGGCTATGAGATCTATGTGACCCCTGGAGTCCAGCCACCACCACCTCAGATGGGAGAGATTATTAGCTGCTGTGGAGGCACATACCTACCCAGCATGCCTCGGTCCTATAAGGTATGCTTAGGATGTTCTGGGTCTGGGTGAGGTGGCAGTGGCAGTTAAAGAGGTGGCTGGAATGGCAAAGATTGGAGGGAAAAAAATGGAGGTTCAGAAAGGAATATAAAGTAGTGAGAGGGTGGGGGAAAAGACCTATGGTATAGAAAGGGATAGGAATGAGGGGACAGATCTGCTGATACCCCCATATAACAATCACCGAGATTCAGCAGCAGCTTAATTTAGATTATGCTACATTTGCTCCATCTATCCCTTTTTTCCTTTGATTTTCTCTTTTTTTTTTTTTTTTTTTTTTGAGATGGAGTCTCACTCTCAGGCTGGAGTGCAGTGGCACAATCTCGGCTCACTACAATCTCCGCCTCCTGGGTTCACACCATTCTCCTGCCTCAGCCTCCCGAGTAGCTGGGACTACAGGTGCCCGCCACCACGCCCGGCTAATTCTTTTGTATTTTTAGTAGAGATGGGGTTTCACTGTGTTAGCCAGGATGGTCTTGATCTCCTGAGGTCATGATCTGCCCGCCTCGGCCTCTCAAAGTGCTGGGATTACAGGCGTGAGCCACCGCGCCCGGCTTTTTCCTTTGATTTTCTTTGCTGAAGTATTTCATTTCTTTTTATTTTTCTTTATTCTTTCTTTTTTTCCTTTCTCTTTCTTTGCTGAAATATTTTAAAGCAAACTGCCAATATTATATTATTTCTTCCTACATACTTAAATATATATCTCTAAGAAATACGTACATTTTATTTCATAATCACAATGCCATTATTGATCCTAAGCAAAATTAACAGTAGTTTATTGGTCATTTGCTCACACTCCATTAATAAAATTTCTCCCATTGTCTGAAAAATGTCTCTATACAGTTGTTCAAATCAGGATTCAAATAAGGTCCACATACTGCCACACCTATTATCTTCTTAATTATCTTTACTCTAGAGCATCCCTTAACCCACCCAGCTTTTTTTATGCCATCTATTTCCTGCAGAAGCTGGGTCACTTGTCCTTTAGAATGTTCCTCAGTCTGGAATTTTGGGTTTGCCTCCTTGTCATATAATTTATCTTGTTCCTCTGTACTCCATATTTCCTGGAAATTGCAGATAATTGTAAAAGCTTGAATAAATTCAGGTTCATCTTTCTAGCAAAAGTATTTTTTTTTTTTGAGAGAGTCTCACTCTGTCGCCAGGCTGGAGTACAGTGGAGCAGTCTTGGCTCACTGCAACCTCCATCTCCCGGGTTCAAGCTGTTCTCCTGCCTCAACCTCCCGAGTAGCTGGGACTACAGGCGCACACCACCACGCCCAGCTAATTTTTTTATTTTTACTAAAGACGGGGTTTCACCATGTTGGCCAGGATGGTCTCGATCTCTTGACCTCGTGATCCACCCACCTCGGCCTCCCAAAGTGCTGGGATTATAGGCGTGAGCCACTGTGCCTGGCCTCTAGCAAGAGTATTTCTTTTTTTTTTTTCTTTTTTTTTTTCTTTTGAGATGGAGTCTTGCTCTGTAGCCCAGGCTGGAGTGCAGTGGCGCGATCTCGGCTCACTGCAAGCTCCGCCTCCTGGGTTTTCACGCCATTCTCCTGCCCCAGCCTCCCGAGTAGCTGGGACGACAGGCACCCGTCAGCGCGCCCGGCTAATTTTTTTTTTTTTTTTTTTTTTGTATTTTTAGTAGAGACAGGGTTTCACCGTGGTCTTGATCTCCTGACCTCGTGATCCACCCGCCTCAGCCTCCCAAAGTGCTGTGTAATTACAGGCATGAGCCACTGCGCCCGGCCTAGCAAGAGTATTTCATAGACAGTATGCGGTGTGCTTCACTTGGCTTCATATTAGGAGGTATTATTTTAGTGATGGTAAGACTGGTTAGTGGGTCCTGAACCCATTTCTAGGATTCTTTTTCACCTGATTTTGCCTTTGCTCTGTCTTCCCCAGCCTCAGAGAGTTGTGATCACATGCCCTCAGGACTTCCCTCATTGCTCCATTCCACTACGGGTTGGGCTGCCCCTCCTCTCGCCTGAGTTCCTGCTGACTGGAGTGCTGAAGCAGGAAGCCAAGCCAGAGGCCTTTGTCCTCTCCCCTTTGGAGATGTCATCCACCTGAGAACTCCACTACCCTTTTCCCTCCCAGACCACGAATTAGAAGATATGTGGAAGAAAGAACTCAGGGCGTTAGAAAGGATTGGGGTATATTGATACAACTTGTCCTGGAACATGGGTGGGACCAGAAATCTTTATGAATAAATGAAAAGATAAGGGATTTGGAAGCCACAGGTTGTTTTTTGTTTGTTTGTTTGTTTTTTTAATGGCCATTTTATTTTATTTGTATTTATAGTTTTTTATTTGTATAGATTTAGGGGATACAAGATTTCTTACATGCATGTATTAAATGGCCATTTTAAAATTAGCTAGTTTCATGCTCAGATGTCATAAGTGGCAGCTATCTTTAGCCAGACTGTTGCAGTTATTGCTCGATGCCACTCATGGTGTCCTACCTCCTATTTGGAAACCATCTCTATTTTTTTCTTACTGAGATTCTTACTTTGGGGTCAGGAACTTGAAGGGATGCTTGGAGTGAGTAGATTTGAGGGTCCAGTTATGGAGTGCTACTAAAACATTTTCTTCTCTCCTGGCCTCTGGAAGCATCTTTAGCTTTGACTTTGGGCAAGTCTCTGTACTTTTCTGGCCAGCTTTTCCAGGATTTATAAAATTAGAGCTTCGGCTTGACCTCTGTGATAAATAAATATTCACTCTGTGCCTTATGGTGTAGTGTAGTTTTTTAAAATGTCTAGGTCTCAAGACACAAACTTAAAAAAAAAAAAGTCATAGACTTGTATTTAATTCATCATTATCTTCTATTTAGGACAATTTGTATGACATTTCTTAAGATTTTTTTTTTTTTCTTGAGACAGGGTCTCATCTCTGTCACCTAGGCTGGAGTGCAGTGGCACCATCTTGGCTCACTGCAACCTCCACCTCCCAGTTCAAGCAATAGTCCCACCTCAGCCTCCTGAGTAGCTAGGACTGCAGGCACACACCACCATGCCTGGCTAATTTTCTTTTTTTTATTGTTTAGTAGAGACGGGGCTCTACTAAATTTTTGTATTTTTGGTAGAGATGAGGTTTTGTCATGTTGCCCAGGCTGGTCTCTAACTTCTGACCTCAAGTGATCCACCCACCTCAGCCTCCCGAGTAGCTGGGATTACAGGCACATGCCACCACACCCGGCTAATTTTTGTATTTGTAGTAGAGACGGGGTTTCACCATGTTGGCCATGCTGGTCTCGAACTCCTGACCTCAGGTGATCCACCTGTCTTGACTTCCCAAAGTGCTGGGATAACAGGCATGAGCCGCCATGACTGGCCTTTTATCTTTTTGAGTCAAGGTGTCACTCTGTTGCCCAGGCTGAAGTGCAGTGGCTCGATGTCGGCTTACTGCAGCCTTGACCTCCTGGGCTCAAACGATTTTCCTCTCAGCCTCCCAAGTAGCTGGGACCATAGGTGTGTGCAACCATGCCCGATGAATTTTGTATTTTTGGTAGAGACGAGGTTTTGTCATGTTGCCCAAGCTGGTCTCTAACTCGTGACCTCAAGTGAGCCACCCACCTCAGCCTCCAAAAGTGCTGGGATTACAGGCTTGAGCCACCGTGCCCAGCCAGATTTAAATTTTAAAAGTTGGTTGATTACAAGGATGTGGAGAAATTAGAATCCTTATACATTGCTGGTAGGAATGTTAAATGGTTCAGCCTCTGTGGTAAACAGTTTGATGGTTCCTCAAAAAGTTAAACATATGGATGGGCACAGTGGCTCACACATGTAATCCCAGCACTTTGGAGGCCAAGGCTGGCAGATCACTTGAGCTCAGAAGTTCACGGCCAGCCGGGCAACATGACAAAACCTCGTCTCTACCAAAAATACAAAAATTCACTGGGCATGGTGGCACACACCTATGGTCCCAGCTACTTGGGAGGCTAAGAGGAAAATCGTTTGAGCCCAGGAGGTCAAGGCTGCAGTGGGTGGACACGAGCCACTGCACTTCAGCCTGGGCAACAGAGTGAGACCTTGTCTCAAAAAAATAAAAGGCCAGTCACGGCAGCTCATGCCTGTAATCCCAGCACTTTGGGAAGTCAAGACAGGTGGATCACCTGAGGTCAGGAGTTAGAGACCAGCCTGGCCAACATGGTGAAATCCCGTCTCTACTTAAAATACAAAAATTAGCCGGGCGTGGTGGCATGTGCCTGCAATCCCAGCTACTTGGGAGGCTGAGGCAGAAGAATTGCTGGAACCCGGGAAGTGGAGGTTGCAGTGAGCTGAGATCGTGCCACTGCACTCCAGCCTGGGCAACAGAACAAGACTCCATCTAAAAAAAAAAAGGCCAGGCGTGGTGGCTCACCCCTGTAATCCTAGCACTTTGGGAGGCCAAGGTGGGCAGATCACAAGATCAGGAGATTGAGACCATCCTGGCTAACATGGAGAAACCCCGTCTCTACTAAAAATACAAAAAATTAGCTAGGCGTGGTGGCAGGCGCCTGTAGTCCTAGCTACTCGGGAGGCTGAGGCAGGAGAATCGCTTGAACCCGGGAGGTGGAGGTTGCAGTGAGCCAAGACTGCTCCACTGTACTCCAGCCTGGCGACAGAGCGAGACTCCCTCTCAAAAAAAAAACAAAAAAAAAAAAGTAGCCTCTTTTCTGGCTGGAACCCTCATGTAGAGTGTTGTAGATAAGAAGGAGAGGGCCGGGGTGCAGTGGCTCACACCTGTAATCCCAACACTTTGGGAGGCCGAGGTGGGCAGGTCACCTGAGGTCAGGAGTTCAAGACCAGGCTGGCCAACATGACAAAACCCCGTCTCTACTAAAAATTCAAAACAAAATTAGCCGGGCATGGTGGCCAGCCCCTGTGATCCCAGCTACTCAGGAGGCTGAGGCAGGAGAATTGCTTGAATGCAGGAGGGGGAGGTTGCATTGAGTCGAGATCGCACCATTGCACTCCAGCATGGGAGACAGAGCAAGACCCCGTCTTAAAAAAAAAAAGAGAGAGAAAAAGAAGGAGGTTCTTGCTATGCCAGAAACCCTTAAAAAGCGAAGGAATTTCCCAGAGCTGAAGATCAAAGGCCCGAGAAAGAAATTTGCCCAAAAGATGATTCAAAAGGCAAGGAGGAAGCTTATCTATGAAAAAGTGAAGCACTATCACAAGGAATATAGGCAGATGTACAGAACTGAAATTCGAATGGCTAGGATGGCCAGAAAAGCTGGCAACTTCTATGTACCTGCAAAACCCAAATTGCCGTTTGTCATCAGGATCAGAGGTATCAGTGGTGTGAACCCAAAGGTCCGAAAGGTGTTGCAGCTTCTTCGCCTTTGTTAAATCTTCAGTGGAACCTTTGTGAAGCTCAACAAGGCTTCAATGAACATGCTGAGGATTGTAGAACCATATATGGCATGGGGGTACCCAAAGCTGAAGTCAGTAAATGAACTAATCTACCAGCATGGTTATGGCAAAAATCAATAAGAAGCAAATTGCTTTGACAGATGACACTTTGATTGCTTTATCTCTTGGTAAATATGGCATCACCTGCATGGAGGATCTGATTCTTGAGATCTATACTGTTGGAAAATGCTTCAAAGAAGCAAATAACTTCCTGTAGCCCTTCAAATTATCCTCTCCACAAGGTAGAGTAAAGAAAAAGACCACCCATTTTGTAGAAAGTGGACATGCTGGCAACAGGGAGAACCGGATCAACAGACTTATTAGAAGAATGAGCTAAGGTGTCTACTGTGATTGTTTTTCTAATCTAAGCACTTAAGCAGTACCTGCTCTCAAATTGGAGGAAAAAAAAGAAAGTTAAATACGGAATTACCGAACAGTCCAGCAATTCTGCTCCTAGGTGTACACCCAAAAGAATTTAAATCAGGTGTCCAGGCTGGGTGGGGTGGCTTATGCCTATAATCCCAGCAGTTTGGGAGGCCAAAGTGGGAGGATTGCATGAGCCCAGGACTTCACGGGCAACCAGTCTGGGCAACATGGCAAAACCCTGTCACTACAAAAAATACAAAAATGGGCTAGGTGCGGTGGCTCACGCCTATAATCCTAGCACTTTGGGAGGCAAGGTGGGTAGATCACCTGAGGT
The DNA here is from genome assembly GCF_000001405.40 of Homo sapiens. NCBI lineage: Eukaryota > Metazoa > Chordata > Mammalia > Primates > Hominidae > Homo > Homo sapiens. The sequence goes on along the minus strand of NT_167245.2, from coordinate 1,952,294 downwards.
CAGGAGTTCAAGACGAGCCTGGCCAACATGGCAAAACCCCATCTCTACTAAAAAATACAAAAATTAGCCGGGTGTGGTGGCTCATGCCTGTAATCCCAGCATTTTGGGAGGCCGAAGGTGGTTGGATCACCTGAGGTCAGGAGTTCGATACCAGCCTGACCAACATGGAGAAACCCGTCTCTACTAAAAAATACAAAATTAGCTGGGCGTGGTGGTGCATGCCGGTAATCCCAGCTACTCCGGAGGCTGAGGCAGGAGAATCACTTGAACCTGGGAGGTGGAGATTGTGGTGAGCCAAGATCATGCCGTTGCAACAAGAGCAAAACTCCGTCTAAAAAAAAAAAAAAATTAACTGGGCCTGGTGGCTCACGCCTGTAATCCCAACACTTTGGGAGGCTGAGGCGGGTGGATCATGAGGTCAGGAGATCAAGACCATCCTGTCCAACATGGTGAAACCCCCTCTCTACTAAAAATACAAAAATTAGCTGGGCGTGGTGGCGTGCGCCTGTAGTCCCAGCTACTCGTGAGGCTGAGGCAGAAGAATCACTTGAACCAGAGAGTCAGAGTTTGCAGTGAGCCAAGATCATGCCACTGCACTCGAGCCTGGCTATAGAGGGAGACTCTGTCTCAAAAAATAATAATAATAATAATAAAAAAATTAGCTGGGCATGGTGGCATGTGGCTGTAATCCCAGCTACTGGGGAGGCTGAGGCTGCAGAATCACGTGAACCCGGGAAGCAGAGGTTGCAGTGAGCTGAGATCATGCCACTGCACTCCAGCCTGGGTGACAGAGAAAGACTCTCTCTCAAAAAAAAAAAAAAAATTTAGCCAGGTGTGGTGGCACATGCCTGTAATCCCAGCTACTTGGAATGCTGAGGTGGGAGGAGGTCAAGGCTGCAATGAGCCATGATTGTGCAACTACATTCCAGCCTGGGTAACAGAGCACGACTCTGTCTCCAAAAAAAAAAAAAAAAAAGGAAAAGAAAACAGTTATTCAAACAAATTCTTGTACGTGAGTGTTCATATCAGCACTTTTTACAATAGCCAAAAAGGTGGAAACAACACAAATATTCATCAGCAAATGAGTGGATAAACAATTGTGATATATCCATATAATCAAATATTATTCAACCATAGAAAAGGATGAAATACTGATATATGCTACAATATTTTGAGGATGAATATCAAAATATTTTGCTAAGTGAAGGAAAGCCAGAAACAGAACACATATTATGTGATTACACATGTAAGGAATATCCAGAATAGGTAAACCCATAGAGAACAAGAGCAGATTTGTGGTTGCCAGTGGCTGTGGGGTGGGGGAGATGAGAAAATGGGGAGTAACTTCATGGGTATGGAGTTTTATTTGGGGGTGATGAAAATGTTTTGAAGGCCCAGCGTGGTGGCTCATGCCTGTAATCCCAGCACTTTGGGAGGCTGGGGCAGGTGGATCACTTGAGGTCAGGAGTTCGAGACTAGCTGGACCAACATGGTGAAACCCTGTCACTACTAAAAATACAAAATTAGCCAGGCGTGGTGGCACATGCCTGTAATCCCAGCTACTTGGGAGGCTGAGCAGGAGAATTGCTTGAACCTGGGTGGCAGAGGTTGCAGTGAGCGGAGATCAGCCATTGCACTCCAGCATGGGCAATAAGAGCAAAGCTCCATCTCAAAAAAAAAATGTTTTGAAATTAGATAGAGGTGGTGGTTGTACCTATTACTAATATACTAATGTACTAAATACCATTATATTATTCTCTTTAAAGTGGTTAGGCTAGGCCGGGTGTGGTGGCTCACGCCTGTAATCCCAGCACTGTGGGAGGCCAAGGTGGGTGGATCACCTGAGGTCAGGAGTTTGATTGAGACTAGCCTGGCCAACATGGTGAAACCCTATCTCTATTAAAAATACAAAAATTGGCCAGATGTGGTGGTGGGCGCCTGTAATCCCAGCTACTTGGGAGGCTGAGGCAGGAGAATCACATGAACCCAAGAGGCGGAGGTTGCAGTGAGCCAAGATCGCGCCATTGCACTCCAGCCTGGGCAATAAGAGCGAAACTCTGTCTCAAAAATAAATAAATAAATAAATACAATAAAGTGGTTAGGCAAGGCATGGTGGCACCCTGGGAGGCTAAGGCAGCAGGATCACTTGAGCCAAGGAGTTTGAGACCAACCTGGGTATCATAGTGAGACCCCATCACTACAAAAAATAAAAAGTTAGCTGAATGTGGTGGCGCATGCCTGTAGTCCCAACTACTCAGGAGGCTGAGGCAAGAGGACCATTTGCCCAGAAGTTCGAGGTTGCAGTGAGCTGTGATCATACCACTGCACTCCAGCCTGGACCGCAACTCAAAAAAAAAAAAGGTTAATTTTATGTTGCATGAATTTCAATTTTTAAAAAATAGTTGATTACTTATGTACACTTTTCTGCATGTAAGTAATACTTAAGTTTGGAAAACTTTGGTGTAGTAGAAATAGCATGAGATTTGCCAAGCATTTTGCTGGCTATTAAACATATCTAATCTCATAATATACATTAAGCACAGCCATTGTGGGGGTGGCAGACAGTATGACCCAGATAAATATTAGTCCCCTTGCACAACTCAAAGCTTTCATACTCTAAAATTGTCCATGTCCCGGAGGCCCTGATTTCTTTCTTTCCATTTTTTTTTTTTTTTTTTTGAGACAGAGTTTCACTCTTGTTGCCCAGGCTGGGTTCAATGGCGTGATCTCGGCTCACTGCAGCCTCCGCCTCTCGGGTTCAAGTGATTCTCCTGCCTCAGCTTTCTGAGTAGCTGGGATTACAGGCATGCACCACCACGCCCAGCTAATTTTGTATTTTTGGTAGAGACAGGGTTTCTCCATGTTGGTCAGGCTGGTCTCGAACTCCCGACCTCAGGTGATCCACCCACCTTGGCCTCGCAAAGTGCTGGGATTACAGGCGTGAGCCACTGCACCCGGCTCCTTTTTTTGTTGTTGTTGTTGTTGAGATGGAGTCTTGTTCTGTTGCCCAGGCTGGAGTGCAGTGGCGCGATCTCGGCTTACTGCAACCTCCGCCTCCCAGGTTCAAGCAATTCTCCTGCCTCAGCCTCCCAAGTAGTTGGGACTACAGGTGTGTGCCACCACACCCGGCTAATTTTTGTATTTTTAGTAGAGACGGGGTTTCGCCATGTTGGTCAGGCTGGTCTCTAACCCCTGACCTCGTGATCCACCCACCTAGGCCTCCCATAGTGCTGGGATAACAGGCATGAGCCACCGCGCCCAGCTCCTTTTTTTTTTTTTTGAGACGGAGTCTCACTCTGTCACCCAGGCTGGAGTCCAGTGGCGAGATCTCAGCTTATCGCAACCTCCACCTCCCGGGTTCAAGCGATTCTCCTGCCTCAGCCTCCCGAGAAGCTGGGATTACAGGCTCCTGCCACCACACCTGGCTAATTTTTGTCTTTTAAGTGGAGACGAGGTTTCACCATGTTGGCCAGGCTGGTCTCAAACTCCTGACCTCAGATGATCCAACTGCCTCGGCCTCCCAAGTGCTGGGATTACAGCTGTGAGCCACTGCGCCCAGCCAGAGACCTTGATTTCTTACCATACCTGCTGTCTGTAGAGCACCATGTAGCACTCAGCTACACTCCCTCTTCATGAGTGGTACTATTTAAATGCCTCAGGTTAAACATCTAGAGATTAGGGATCTTTTCTTACACTTCCTTGTATTTTATTTATTTATTTTTTTGTTTGAGACAGAATCTTGCTCCATCACCCAGTGGATTCTCCTGCCTCAGCCTCCCAAGTAGCTGGGATTACAGGCGCATACCACCACACCCAGCTAATTTTTAAAATTTTTTAGTAGAAATGGGGTTTCACCACGTTGGCCATTCTGGTCTCCAGCTTCTGGTCTAAAGTGATCCACCCACCTCAGCCTCCCGAATTGCTGGGATTACAGGCGTGAGCCACCGAGTCTGGCCTCTTACACTTCCAATGAACCCCATAGCTTGTAGCACATTGCTTTGTGTGGTAAGTGTCTCTATTCATGGTCCTAGCAGGAAATGAATAGCACAGTGAAATTAGGATAATTTGGGGGAGAGTTTAATAAAGTGATAATTACAAAGAAGTAGGCAGGGTGTAGGGAAATCAGAAAGAATAGTGCAGTGCCTTAGTACCCACAGCTCTGTTGTGATCACCTCCAAGCTCAAAAAGATGAGGACAGAGCAGTCGTGTAGAGAGGACTTTCTTTTTTTTTTTTTCTTTTCTTTTTTTTTTTTTTTTTTTTTGAGATGGAGTCTTGCTCTGTCGCCCAGGCTGGAGTGCAGTGGCGCGATCTCGGCTCACTGCAAGCTCTGCCTCCCGGGTTCACGCCATTCTTCTGCCTCAGCCTCCTGAGCAGCTGTGACTACAAGCGCCCGCCACCGCGCCCGGCTAATTTTTTTTGTATTTTTAGTAGAGACGGGGTTTCACCGTGGTCTCGATCTCCTGACCTCGTGATCCACCCGCCTCGGCCTCCCAAACTGCTGGGATTACAGGCGTGAGCCACCGCGCCCGGCGAGAGGACTTTCTCAATAAAAACTGTGACTTTCATTGATACCGTCCATTTGGGACAACTTACTGAAGCAGAAAGCAGGGTGGAGACTGAATTCAAGGGAAAACATAAGATGTCTGGTACAGCATACAACAGCATTGATTCAGAGGAGGGTGGGAGTACTGAGCCCAGGAGACGGAGAAGGAATGTAAAGCCTGCGAGAGGCTGCTCAGCAATTATCTGGTCCCTTAGCCTACAGGATTAGCAGCTTCCTAACTCAGGCAATTATCTCTCTGGACCTGTTTCTTCTATCTATAAGTTGATGGAATTAGTCTAATGATATCTAAGGTCCCTACTATGTGTACGTCTACTGTGACAAGGTCCTTAGCTGCATGATCTTTAATTCTGACAAAGGTTACTATCACAAATATTTTAACATGTTTATTCTCGTGGTTACTAATCAACAATCTCTGGCACTATTACAACAAACCTTTCAGTATTTACAGAGAAGTTATTTGCCATTCTTAGCAACTGGCCAGTCAACAACTCAACTTTATAGTAAGTTACAGAATTTATTCTGTATATTGTATTCTGTACAATGTATTCCATACATTAATTTATTTTGTGGTAAAACAGTAACTTTTCATTTTAGATGGGAAAACTAGACGAGCTGAGATTCAACCCACGTGAGCGGCTGCAGAGCCGCTACCCTTAACAGCTCTCTCTCGGGATTCTAACATTCCCTTCTGTGACGGAGAGACAGCAGGCCGGGACACGCATCCCAGGACGGATCCACAGCTGGATGGGGAAGGCTGCGCCAGGCGGGCCGGAAGCCTGGCGGTGGCGTGCAGGAGCCCCGCCCTCCTGGGCTGGATTCAGCCGGGGGCGGGGCCGCGGGCGGGGCCTGTGGCAGCGGGAATCCCGACCCCGCCCCTTTCCCCACCCCTCCATTTCTCGCCATGGCCCCTGCACTGCTCCTGATCCCTGCTGCCCTCGCCTCTTTCATCCTGGCCTTTGGCACCGGAGTGGAGTTCGTGCGCTTTACCTCCCTTCGGCCACTTCTTGGAGGGATCCCGGAGTCTGGTGGTCCGGGTGAGCGGGAGGGATCGAGGATGAACTGGGAGGAGGAAGGTGGAGCCGTAGGAGAGGGATTGAGGGCGGGGCTTGGAAACAAATGACAGGGGAAGTCCAAGAGAGGGAACTCGAACCTTGAAAGCGGCCGAGAAGCTACAGGGGAGGGAGACCTGAGTTCTAAATTAGGAACTCAAGGATTAGAGTTTTGGAGAGGCGGGAGAGTGAGGACTGAGGGAGCCGAAAAGGGCGGTGACCGGAGTATTCTAAGTAAAGTGTTTTGTAGAGAGGACTGTTGAGAGGAGAGTGTTAAAAAGAAGGAGCATTTGGAGAACCGAAGTAAGAGGGGCAATCCAGCGTGGCCTCTCCAGCCATGCTTTTTGCAACTGCCTAACATGTGTTGTTCTATAAATCCTCTTCCCCAGGTTTGCAGGAGGCCTAGGGAAGAGGGCAGAAACTAGGGATGGAAAAGTGAGATGGGCACAGCCTAGAGAGGAAGCATTAAGGCTCTTGAAAGCAGTAAGGGACATGGCCTGGGGATCCAAGAGGAGATGAGGGTGGGGGAAACATTCTGCCACTGTTTCGATCTTTTGTCTCTTTTTCCCTCAACTTCCTGTAGATGCCCGCCAGGGATGGCTGGCTGCCCTGCAGGACCGCAGCATCCTTGCCCCCCTGGCATGGGATCTGGGGCTCCTGCTTCTATTTGTTGGGCAGCACAGCCTCATGGCAGCTGAAAGAGTGAAGGCATGGACATCCCGGTACTTTGGGGTCCTTCAGAGGTCACTGTATGTGGCCTGCACTGCCCTGGCCTTGCAGGTATGAGGCCCTGGCCTTGCAGGTATGAAATCCTGGCAGTTGAGTCCCCAAGGGAGACCAAGTGTGGGAGGGGTGCCGTGGATTGGAGGGGCAAAATATGGGTTCAGGAGGAGAATTGAGGAACTAATCTCAGCTTCCATTCCTCCACAGCACATATCCTACTTTTTATCAAGAAGGGTGTACTTGTCCTTCCCTAAGCACAAGATATGCTTCTCACCTCTGCAACTTTGTTTATGTCCTGCTTGAGATCCCTTCTCTTCAGTCCTACCCTTTCTTCAAAACCACTTCCCTAGGTCTGAAGAGAAGGCCTTGTCTGTCTTTTCACTGGGTGGTTGGCACAGGCTACTACTTTGCGTAGCTATCAGGTCACCCCATCTATTCTATAAGTTCTCAGGGTAGAGACAGGCCATCCTTACATCTTTGGGACCTCACCCAGCACGCACCCTCCACATGGTGAATATTTGGTGGTGATGCTTAGGAGAGAGGTGGGGGAGAGTTGCAGGCTAGCCTGTGGTGGGGGCAGATCTGGGTCTGGGTCTCCCAAGGTCGGGCAGACTAGGCCACTGGGATACCCAGCCCCTTATCCTTCCACAGCTGGTGATGCGGTACTGGGAGCCCATACCCAAAGGCCCTGTGTTGTGGGAGGCTCGGGCTGAGCCATGGGCCACCTGGGTGCCGCTCCTCTGCTTTGTGCTCCATGTCATCTCCTGGCTCCTCATCTTTAGCATCCTTCTCGTCTTTGACTATGCTGAGCTCATGGGCCTCAAACAGGTGAGGCTCCGAGATCCCTACCTATGACCTCTGACCCGTTTTAGAACTCCTCGTTCCCTTTCAAGGGTTTCCCTCCTCCCATGCTCTTCTACTGTCTCCCTGCTTCTCCCTCGTGGCCCTTCCCTTTGACTTTCCCTCGTAAGGGCAGCAAGCATGGGCCTCCTGGGCCTGGGGAAGGTACATGGATCAGAAGTCAGGATCAGGGATCCAAGTCTCAGAAGGGGGGTTCCTGGGCCTGAGTTCTAGAAGGGTGGTGCCTGGAAGAGGAGGAAAGAAGTGCCCAAGATGAGAAAAGGGCTTGACTCCATTTCTAAGCTCTTCTCCCTCTCTTAGGTATACTACCATGTGCTGGGGCTGGGCGAGCCTCTGGCCCTGAAGTCTCCCCGGGCTCTCAGACTCTTCTCCCACCTGCGCCACCCAGTGTGTGTGGAGCTGCTGACAGTGCTGTGGGTGGTGCCTACCCTGGGCACGGACCGTCTCCTCCTTGCTTTCCTCCTTACCCTCTACCTGGGCCTGGCTCACGGGCTTGATCAGCAAGACCTCCGCTACCTCCGGGCCCAGCTACAAAGAAAACTCCACCTGCTCTCTCGGCCCCAGGATGGGGAGGCAGAGTGAGGAGCTCACTCTGGTTACAAGCCCTGTTCTTCCTCTCCCACTGAATTCTAAATCCTTAACATCCAGGCCCTGGCTGCTTCATGCCAGAGGCCCAAATCCATGGACTGAAGGAGATGCCCCTTCTACTACTTGAGACTTTATTCTCTGGGTCCAGCTCCATACCCTAAATTCTGAGTTTCAGCCACTGAACTCCAAGGTCCACTTCTCACCAGCAAGGAAGAGTGGGGTATGGAAGTCATCTGTCCCTTCACTGTTTAGAGCATGACACTCTCCCCCTCAACAGCCTCCTGAGAAGGAAAGGATCTGCCCTGACCACTCCCCTGGCACTGTTACTTGCCTCTGCGCCTCAGGGGTCCCCTTCTGCACCGCTGGCTTCCACTCCAAGAAGGTGGACCAGGGTCTGCAAGTTCAACGGTCATAGCTGTCCCTCCAGGCCCCAACCTTGCCTCACCACTCCCGGCCCTAGTCTCTGCACCTCCTTAGGCCCTGCCTCTGGGCTCAGACCCCAACCTAGTCAAGGGGATTCTCCTGCTCTTAACTCGATGACTTGGGGCTCCCTGCTCTCCCGAGGAAGATGCTCTGCAGGAAAATAAAAGTCAGCCTTTTTCTACATATGGCATGCAGTCTGTCAGTGTCTCCCAAGCTACAGGGCTGAGTTTGGGAAAGAAAGCCAGAGGGAGCCTGGGAGCACCGAACTGGAGTCTGGGCAGCCACCACGCCCTCTGGCAACCGCTGGGGTTCGGCCACCCCCGCAGACCCGCCCCCACTTTGCCAGAGCGGCCGGGTCCCCATTCCCATTCCTTCAAATCCCCTTTTTCCCGGCAGCCGACCTGTAGACCCAAGGGAGACAGGTTGAAGCTAGAAAGAGTCGGGGCAGCAGCTCTGGTAGGGGAGGGAGCATCCAAAACCTCTGGCTTCTGAGCGCCTCTCCTGCCGCCCATCCACAAAGCCCCCCACAGCCTGGCGGCTGCCCTCGACCCCGCAAAACAAAGGACTTCAGAGGCTGGACCTACAGACCCAGATGAGAAGGCAAAAGCGTAGGGAGGAGCGGCAGGAGATGGGAAGGGCGGGCCCCGCTCGGAGCAGCTGCCGCTTCCTCCCAAAGTCCCACGAGGGGCCTGAGTCACGGGCCACCGCCCTGGGTCGGCGAGCTGGGGGAAGGGATCTGGACACCTGGCGTGTCCGGGCGGGAAGCTGGTGAGGGCCCCTGGGGACAGAGCGGAGGACCAGTGGTTGGGGCGAGAAGAGGGCAGTCCCGCAGCGAGTCCCACGCGGGGTGGGAGGGATCTAGGCCCCGCCCTCTCCTCGGCTCCGCCCTGCGCCCCCTTCCCTCTCCTCATTGTCCTTAGACAAAGCGGTCGCCGCCCCCGCCCGGCCCCCTGGTCTCTGTCTCCGTCCCTCCTCCTTTGCTGCCTCTTTCCCTCCTCCTCTCCCTCCCTCCTCCCCTCCCTCCAGTCTCCGGATCTCCCTCGGTCCCTCTCTCCTCCTCTTCCTCTCTCTGGACGCCCGGCTCCTCCGCACCCCCTCCCCCGGGGGTCCCGCGGCCTGTGAGTTGACTGAGGGGCTCAGACTTGGGGAGTGGGTGTCTCCTCGCCCCTGTCCTTGCTCCCGTCCCTGGCCCGGACCTTGGCTGTCTCCTCTTTGTGCCGAGATTGTCAGTCTGTGCGGCTACAGCGGGGTGGAGACGGCCGGCTCTGTCACGGCTTCATGAGAGCGGGGACGGGGCGCAGGACTTGCAGGCGCCGGGGAGAAGAGACATGGAGCCGGCCCTTGGCACTCTGGGGTCGCGTGGGGCAGTCGGTGGGGGAGGCAGGCGGTGGTGACAGGACAGGGTGGGGGTGGACGCCAGGGTTCTGGGAACGCGCTGGCAGCCCTGACGCCCGGGTTCCGAAAGTCTCGGGGGTGGGTATTTCCCCCGACCCGCCTCGGGGGCGGAGTGCGGGGCAGAGGGGTGGGGGCTGGGGAGAGGCGTGGCCCGAGCGGTGCTGGAAGCGGAGCCGGGACCTTTGGGGCCCGCGCTGAGACGCGCCCGGCTGCTGCCGCCGCCCTCCTTTCCCCTCTTCCCTGGTTTCCCTTCTCCTCTAGACCTGTTCGCTCTCCGCCCCTCCTTGCCTCCCCAACACCCCCTCAGGTCCCGTTGCCTCCTGGTCCTTTCAGGGATTCCTGGTCCTTCCTTCCCACACTAGCCTCCCTGGGGTATCGCTGAGGCAGCCTGGCCTGCACCCAGGTTCCCCTCACCCCTGCCACATTTCTCTCTTCTCCCTCACGCCAACTTTCCTTTTCGCCCTTCTCTCTCTTTCTCACATCCTAGAGACGGTCTTTAATACGCATTAACCCTGTGCTGCCACATCTGGCTCCTGCCCTCATTGCCTCCAATCCGGACTCTTCCTCTCACATCACCCCCACCACCCCCAACTTGGGCTCACAACTTCTCTTCACTTTTTCCATTTCCCCAGTTCTCTGCCTTCCGTCTTTCCCTCTGTCCTCATCCTTAGCCCCTCTGCCCTGCTTTGTGTCCCACCTCTCCCCCTCCACTTCCTCTCCTCCCACCCTCAGTCTCACCCCCGGGCTGTCTCACTCTCTGGAGCCTCTCCTTCCTGTTCTCTGTCCCCAGTGCTCCCTACCCTCACCTCAAGACGACCATGGCCACCATCCCAGACTGGAAGCTACAGCTGCTAGCCCGGCGCCGGCAGGAGGAGGCGTCCGTTCGAGGCCGAGAGAAAGCAGAACGGGAGCGCCTGTCCCAGATGCCAGCCTGGAAACGAGGGCTCCTGGAGCGCCGCCGGGCCAAGCTTGGGCTGTCCCCTGGGGAGCCTAGCCCTGTGCTAGGGACTGTAGAGGCTGGACCTCCAGACCCGGATGAGTCTGCGGTCCTTCTGGAGGCCATCGGGCCAGTGCACCAGAACCGATTCATCCGGCAGGAGCGGCAGCAGCAGCAGCAGCAACAACAACGGAGTGAAGAGCTGCTAGCAGAGAGAAAGCCTGGGCCTCTGGAGGCCCGGGAGCGGAGACCCAGCCCTGGGGAGATGCGGGATCAGAGCCCCAAGGGAAGAGAGTCAAGAGAAGAGAGACTAAGTCCGAGGGAGACCAGAGAGAGGAGGCTGGGGATAGGGGGAGCCCAAGAGTTGAGCCTGAGGCCTCTGGAGGCTCGGGACTGGAGGCAAAGCCCAGGAGAGGTGGGAGACAGGAGCTCCCGACTGTCAGAGGCATGGAAATGGAGGCTGAGTCCTGGAGAAACTCCAGAGCGGAGTCTGAGACTAGCAGAGTCTCGAGAGCAAAGCCCCAGGAGAAAAGAGGTGGAAAGTAGACTGAGCCCAGGGGAATCTGCCTACCAGAAGTTGGGCCTGACAGAGGCCCATAAATGGAGACCTGACTCCAGAGAGTCTCAGGAACAGAGTTTGGTACAACTGGAGGCAACAGAGTGGAGGCTGAGGTCAGGAGAAGAAAGACAAGACTACTCGGAAGAATGTGGGAGAAAAGAAGAGTGGCCAGTTCCAGGGGTAGCTCCAAAAGAGACTGCAGAGCTGTCCGAGACCCTGACAAGGGAGGCCCAAGGCAACAGTTCCGCAGGAGTGGAGGCAGCAGAGCAGAGGCCTGTGGAAGATGGCGAGAGGGGCATGAAGCCAACAGAAGGGTGGAAATGGACCCTGAACTCCGGGAAGGCTCGAGAATGGACACCCAGGGACATAGAGGCTCAAACTCAGAAACCAGAACCTCCAGAGTCAGCAGAGAAGCTTCTGGAATCTCCCGGTGTGGAGGCTGGAGAAGGGGAGGCTGAGAAGGAGGAGGCGGGGGCTCAGGGCAGGCCTCTGAGAGCCCTGCAGAACTGCTGCTCTGTGCCCTCCCCCCTCCCACCAGAGGACGCTGGGACTGGAGGCCTGAGACAGCAGGAAGAGGAAGCAGTGGAGCTCCAGCCCCCACCACCAGCCCCTCTGTCTCCCCCACCCCCAGCCCCAACTGCCCCCCAACCTCCTGGGGATCCCCTCATGAGCCGCCTGTTCTATGGGGTGAAGGCAGGGCCAGGGGTGGGGGCCCCCCGCCGCAGTGGACACACCTTCACCGTCAACCCCCGGCGGTCTGTGCCCCCTGCGACCCCAGCCACCCCAACCTCTCCAGCCACAGTTGATGCTGCAGTCCCGGGGGCTGGGAAGAAGCGGTACCCAACTGCCGAGGAGATCTTGGTTCTGGGGGGCTACCTCCGTCTCAGCCGCAGCTGCCTTGCCAAGGGGTCCCCCGAAAGACACCACAAACAGGTAGGGAAGCAGCCAAGCCAGACTTCTTAGAAGTCCACTTGTCAATTTTCTCTGGACTCTGGTCTCTTTCTTTTTTATACCCCTGTTTTCTTGTCTTCCTCTATTCTTTCTTGTTAATTCCTGCCACCACCCTTCCTCGCTCTGCACATACACCCTTCCTTCTCAGAGCCCTCCTTTTCCATTTTGAGCCCAAAAGATCCTGCCCCAGCAAAGGCTGTCTCTGGGTGTGTCTCTTTCAGGGTGTGCCAGGCTGCTCATTCTCCCTTCCCTTGGGCTCTGAGTTTCCAACCCCCTTTTCTTTCCTTCCTTTCCTGAGTGTGACCTGCCCCAGCCCATCCAGTGGGAGAGCCTAAAGTGACGAGCTTGAATCAGTGAGGGCAGGGTCACCAGGGTGAGAGCACTTGCAGTTTTTCTGGGGAGAAGGGATAGGGAGCCTGGGGTGGTGGAGGGGGTGGGGTGGGTTTGTGTTCTAGGGAGAAACTGCAGGGAGAAGTGAATGGAGAAAGGTCCAACTGCCCCGTGGGAAGGAGGGCAGAGCTGAATAGGGACATCCTAGGATGGAGGGGAGAGGGGAGATGGAACCGGGCCGGCCAAAGAGCAGAGAGAAGGCTTTTGAACCCCGAGTCTGCCCCATGGGAGAGACACAGAGAGGCCATTTGAAGTGGGTGACCTCGGGGTTGCACACCCCCAGCTGGGCCACTGCTTCAGACAGTGCTCCCTTCTCTCTTGGGACAAGAAAAGCCTTCTCCTCTTCCAAAATACCCCCGCCCCTCACTCCCCTGTCCTTCCTCCCTGGGTTTCCCCTCCCTCCCAAGAACTGGCTCAGGGATCGGTTTTCCCCTCTTTTCCTGCCATCCTGGACTTTCCCTCCCCTTAGGGTAGCAAAAGAGAGAAGTGAATTTGGAGACAGTTTTGAGAACAGGCACTGGCCAGGGAGCACAGTGGGAGTTCTGGACAGGGGTTGGGGCTGAGGCCAGCAGAGGGTCAGAGGTTAGACTTGCAACAAAGACCTGCAGGAAAGTGGGGGCAGCCAGGATGACTCCCCCTGGCCCTGGCCTCACTTCTTCCCTGTGCACATCCATCTGTTTCCAGCTTGAAAATCTCTAGGGAGACAGAGGTCCCACACTCAGACATCTCAGACTTAGGAAGTCCCTCCAGTCACACACATCTCCCCAGAGCCTGGGAAGCCCAGTCTCATTCTCATCCCATGTGTTAACATCCTCAGATTTGATTTTTTTGTGTCCTCAGTGTCAGTGGGGAACCACAGGGACTAAAGATACGGGTTAAGCCTTGGGTGGAGGGGGGTTCATTTGATCCCCCAATTCATCTTCACATGAAGCGTAAGCTCCCACCTCTAAGCCATGGTTCTTGGGAACCTACCCTCAGCCCTCTGACTGCTACCAGCCTGTTCCCCTCAGGGCTGGGCAGATGAAAAAAACAGAAGTCCGGAAATGCTACCCGGGTGAGGTGTTCAGAAAAGTCACTTCCTACTGAGAGAGGCTTGTGCCTCTGGGGAAGAATGAGCAGAGGGAAGCATGAAGCTTTGGGGCCCAAAGCCCAGGGAGCATCCCAGGGGAGCCAGGAAGCAAGTGCAGGGCAGGACCTGTGCTGGTGACCATACCTAGGCCAGAGAGCAGGGGAGCCGGAAGCAGATCGCCCAAACAGGAAGCCTGGGGTGGGGGCCGGAAGGCTGGTGGGGCTGAGTGGGGAACCCTGGGCCCTGGGCCCTGGGCCTGCCAGATCTGTGCTCAGGATGTGGTGAGAGAATAAGGAAGCAGCCGCTGCTTGGGTGGGGGTGGGGAGGAGGCAGCACAGAGTTCCTCTGACCCAGACGCCTCACCCTCCACCCTCTACCCCCTGTCAGCAACCTGTTCTTCAGGGACTGGGTGCCTTGTCCCAGCTCTGCTGCAACACACTGGCTCAGGAATAGGAGATAGGAGGACCCTGCCACCAACCCCCGCTTCACCTTCCCTAAATAACTCGTTTGCAGGCTAATTCCATCAAATTTATCCCTGCCATCAGGAGAGAAATCCCAGCCCTGCCACTGGAGCCCAGGGGATGGCTGTGGCTGGTGCCCTACCCCAGAGGCCTCTTGGTTGGGCTGAGAGACCAGCCCCATTGTGACCTTATATAGCTGATGGGAGAGGAGCGAGTGAGTCACCCCCTCTCTACCCCCCCACTCCCATGCAGGCTGTGCATTTCTGAGAAGCCCAGTCAGAAGTTGGTGGGGGGTGAGGAGACAGGCAGGGTAGGGGGGGAGATATAAACATAGACCGAGAGCAAATAAAATAAGTCATTTTCAGAGTAGAAAATAAAGTACAGAGGTTATTATTCCAAAAGAGGATATGAGAAGAAAACAAAAATGGGTTCCCAGAAATGTGGGTAAATCTGTCAGTTACAGAAACCTAAGCGGTCCCTTCTGAGAACTTGGGATATAAGCAGTCTGGCTGCTGTCACTAGATTCTACCAGCAGTTCCACAGACATGAACTGGGGGTCAAATGTGTACAGGCTGGACCACCCGCAGATCGTTTCCCCAGCATTGGTCCTCTGATGGCACCTCATGTGAGGTCTGAACAAACCCTAACCTCTTGCATTGTACCAACTTCTAAGCTCCTTTCTTTTTTCTTTTCTTTTCTTTTTTTTTTCTGAGACAGTCTCGCTGTCTCCCAGCCTGGAGTTCAATGGTGAGATTTCGGCTCACTGCAACCTCCACCTCCCGGGTTCAAGTGATTCTCCAGCCTCAGCCTCCTGAGTAGCTGGAATTACAGGCGCACGCCACCATACCCGGCTAATTTTAGTATTTTTAGTAGAGACGGGGTTTCACCATGTTAGCCAGGCTGGTCTCGAACTCCTGACCTCAAGTGATCCACCTGTCTTGGCCTCCCAAAGTGCTGGGATTACAGGGGTGAGCCACCTTACCCGGCCCCAAGCTCCTTTCAACAGCAGACATGAGTATAATATATTAGTAAATTATCTAGTAAGTTAGAAGGTGGTAAGTGATTATGGAAAAAAAAATAGAACAGTGGAACTTAGAGGGTCAGGAGGTAGGGGGAGTGAATATGGAGACTTCAAAATAGGGTGATCAGGAGGGTCAGAGCCATGGGGATATTTTGGGGGAGTGTTCCAGGCAGAAGGAATAGCTAGTACTGTTCTGGTCCTGAGGTAGGAGTGCGTGGAGGGAACCAAGGCCAGTGTGGCTGGAGTGGAGGAAGAGGCCAGAGAGGCAAGGGGAGGGTGGCATACTGGGAGCACCCTGTAGGCTTTGGTCAGGCTCTGGGCACCTTGGGGGCAATCAAGTAGACTTTTTTTTTTTTTTTTTTTTGAGACAGAGTCTTGCTCTGTTGCCCAAGCCGTAGAGCAGTGGCGCGACCTCGGCTCACTGCAACCTCCGCCTCCCGGGTTCAAGCAATTCTCCTGCCTCGTCCTCTCGAGTAGCTGGGACTACAGGTGCACGCCACCATGCCCAGCTAATTTTTTTGTATTTTTAGTAGAGACAGGTTTCACCATGTTGGCCAGGATGGTCTCAATCTCTTGACCTTGTGATCCGCCCGCCTCGGCCTCCCAAAGTTCTGGGATTATAGGCATGAACCACCGCGCCCAGCCTGGAGTAGACTTTTTGCTCCAAGTGAGATGGGGAGACACTGCAGGGTTCAGAGCCAACAAGGAGTAACATATACAGTTCCTGAGTTCTACCTTCCCATGGGGACCCAGGTGTCATATCTGGTTTTCTTTTTTTTTCTTTTTTAGAGACAGTGTCACTCTATTGCCCAGGCTGGTCTCGAACTCCTGGGCTCAAGAAATCCTCCCGCCTCAACCTCCCAAAGTGCTGGGGCTACAGGTGTGAGCCACCATGCCTGACTGGTGTCATATTGATGCAGCTCTTAACAACCACCTGCCCAGCCACCCTTCTGGCTTCTCTCTTTTCATACCTCAGTTCATTAGGGGACTCAGGGATGTACGGCTGACCCCAAGTCTTCCCAAACAGATGCCAGGGAAGGCCTGAGTAGATCATTTGGACCTTTCCAAGTAGTTCATATGGAATCCTCCTGCTGTCTCCCTAATCCCTTTGGCTCCTAGACTTAATCCCACCCTGCCCCTTCCCCCTGAGCTTCTTAATAGGGCAAAGGGGAAGGGTAGAAAGGCAGTGAGAACAGCTGGGACTCGCCTGCTCTTGGGACAGTGTGATTACCAAGGGTTTTCTGTGCCCTGTCTGGTATTTTGTCTCTGTGCCTGTCCCTTTGGGCACACTGTGGACCCCCACCCCAGGTTTGTGTGGACTTTCCTTTCTGCCCTTGTCATCTCCCCCAGCCTTCAGGGTGTCAGCGGCTCATCTTTCCCCTGTGTGTTGCTGGAGTCTCTTGGTTCCTCTCGGCCTTTCTGTTCATCTCCCATCTCTTCCTAGGCCCTAGACTCCCTTTGCTATGGATAGGAGAGGAATGAGGAGAGTAGGAGGGAACAGGTGCCCAGGGTCCTGGGTTTTGCATAGGACAGCAAGGGGCTGTGGGTATGAAAACCTTGCTTTTGTCTGAGACTCGCTCCCCAGCCAGTTCTTTCCCCACTGGCCAGTCTGCTGGGCTCCTCTGGGAAGTTCACTCGATTGCCCCCAAGGTGCCCAAAGACTCGGTTCTGATCACAAGACTTATCGCCATGTATTTTAATTTCTTTTTACCCCTCTGCCTCCCACACTCGAAATAGCAGGGACCTTGGTCTTATATTATTCACTTCTGCCTCCCAAGCCCCTGCCAACGTACAGGGCAAAGTCTGATGTTTTGAAATGATATGATCGAAGAGGGAAACTCTAGAATTGGAGAGCCAGTATGGAAAGGAAAACTGGATCCCAGAGTGGATGGGGAGAGTGAGTGGGGCACCTGAGTCCAGCCCCCACCCCCACGTTCCGCCAGTCCCACCTGCTCCCTTGCAGACTCCGCCCCCCCCGCCCCCGCTTTCTCTCCCTCAACCCCCGCGGGCTTCTCCCCTGCTGACCTTGCCTCCTGCCCCCTTTTTCTCCCTCCTTCAGCTTAAGATCTCCTTCAGCGAGACAGCCCTGGAGACCACGTACCAATACCCCTCCGAGAGTTCGGTACTGGAGGAGCTGGGCCCGGAGCCTGAGGTCCCCAGTGCCCCCAACCCTCCAGCAGCCCAACCCGACGACGAAGAGGATGAGGAAGAGCTGCTGCTCCTGCAGCCAGAGCTCCAGGGCGGGCTGCGCACCAAGGCCCTGATTGTGGGTAAGCGGAGGCTCCGCCGGCCCGAGGGCGCCCCCTGCTGTCAGAGCGGGCGCTGTGGTCCAGGAGAGAGGAGGGAGGATTACATGTAGGCACTCGGAAGGGGCTTGGCGGGTCCTCTGGTTCAACATGCTCCTTTAACAGATGGGCAAACTGAGGTCCCCGGCAGTGAAGTACACATTGAGTCTTCAGGTTTCAAAACGAGAACTCTTCCTGAGTGCTGTAATCTGGTCAAAATCACAGGGTGGGTCGACAGGCCTGAGTTGGAATTCCAGCTTGTCTCTTTAATTGTGTGATCTCAGGGAAACCATCTGATCTCTTGCTTTAGTTTATTATTTATGAAATGAAGTTAATAATAACTACCTCCTGTGGCTCATGCCTGTAATCCCAGCACTTCGGGAAGCCAAGACGGGTGGATCGCTTGAGCCCAGGAGTTCAAGACCACCCTGGGCAACATGGCAAAATCCTGTCTCTACAAAAAAATTGAAAAATTATCCAGGTGTGGGCCGGGCACGGTGGCTCACGCCTGTGATCCCAGCACTTTGGGAGGCCGAGGCGGGCGGATCACGAAGTCAGGAGATCGAGACCATCCTGGCTAACACGGTGAAACCCCATCTCTACTAAAAATACAAAAAAAAATTAGCTGGGCGTGGTGGCGGGCACCTGTAGTCCCAACTACTTGGGAGGCTGAGGCAGGAGAATGGCGTGAACCTGGGAGGCGGAGCTTGCAGTGAGCCGAGGTCGTGCCACTGCACTCCAGCCTTGACAACAGAGTGAGACTCCGTCTCAAAAAAAAAAAAAAAAATTAGCCAGGTGTGGCAGTGCGCAGCTGTGGTTCCAGGTACTTGGAAGGCTGAGGTGGGAGCATCGTTTGACCTCAGGAGTTGGAGGCTGCAGTGAACCAATATTGCACCACCCACTGCACTCCAGCCTGGGCAACAAAGGAAGACCTGTCTCAAAAGAAACAAACAGGCCAGGCACGGTGGCTCACGCCTGTAATCTCAGCACTTTGGGAGGCCGAGGCAGGTGGATCACTCAAGGTCAGAAGTTCAAGACCAGCCTGGCCAACATAGTGAAAACCCATCTCTACTAAAAATACAAAAATTAGCTAGGCATGGAGGTGGACACCTGTAATCCCTGCTACTCGGGAGTCTGAGGCAGGAGAATCACTTGAACCCGGGAAGCAGAGGTTGCAGTGAGCCGAGATGACGCCACTACACTCCAGCCTGGGTGACAGAGTGAAATTCTGTCTCAAAAAAACAGAAACCAAAAACTACCTCCTAGACTTGTAGAAAATATTAAGTAATTTTATTTATTTATTTATTTATTTATTTTGAGACAGCGTCTCCCTCTGTCGCCTGGACTGGAATGCAGTGGCACAACCTTGGCTCACTGCAACCTCTGCCTCCCAAATTCAAGCGATTCTTGTGCCTCAGCCTCTCTAGTAGCTGGGATTACAGATGTGTACCATCACACCTGGCTAGTTTTTATATTTTTAGTAGAGACAGGGTTTCCCCATGTTGGTCAGGCTGGTCTTGAACTCCTGACCTCAAGTGATCCTCCTGCCTCAGCCTCCCAAATTGCTTGGATTACAGGTGCTCCAGGCCAAGATTAAGTAATTTTTTGTGAAGCACCAAGAGCCACAGCTGGATATCATATTACTTAATCTCTCCTGGAGTTATGGTGAGATTAAACAGTTATAAGGATGCCTGGCACAGAGTCCGAGCTAAATGAGTGATGGATGTGGTTACTGGTGGTAACATGCTTTAGATATGGAAGATATTATAGGACTTCCTGCATGCCAACTGCCCTTCAATTTGTGTGGGGGGGAAGGGTGGGCAGAAGGCAGAGGCTCTCACTCATTCTCTAACATTATTGCCCCCTCTCCCACAGATGAGTCCTGCCGGCGGTGACCATCTTCCAACATAGGGATATACCTCCCTCCTTCTTATAACTGAAGATCCTGGAGCCCGGAAGATTCAGGGCAGACAGACCCTGATAATGAGCCTGGCAGGGAAGGGCAACCAACATCTTGTAACTTGCTTTCCCCACCCTGTTTCTGGGGGCAGAGCCAATTGCCCAATTTCTACCCTAATCCAAAGTCCCTGGTGTGGGTGGGGTTAAACGTGCTGGTGCATCCTAGGTCATCCAAGAGTGAGCGCCAAGTCCTGAGAAGGGGCACAGAACTCCCTGGAGGGTGGAGATGGAGCACCTGCCCCCCATGGCAGGGTACACTCTCCCCACAGCCTTCCTCCCCACCATCCCGTGGGGACTCTCGGGATTTAAGCACTCGTCTCTCTGGGAGGCCCAGACCCCACTCCATTTATAGGCACATCTCCTTCATTTCCTAGGTCACTGCCCCTTTGTTTACAGCTCCTGCCTCCTCCCTTGACCACAGCCTGGTTTACAAATTCCATCAGCTCCCAGCCCCACCTGCCAAAGTCCCAGGTTTACAAGCCACGCTTACTTGCTGTGTCTGCGTGGAATTCTCTCCTCTGTCCCCTCCAGTCTCCTCATTGGAGTGACCTGAAGGTGTGGCTTCCTCCACTTTTTCTCAGTATTACTTTGCCTTAGTTTTCCCCAAGAGGGAAGGCTGGAACTCTTAACTCTGTACCCCTTGATAGTTATTTAATTCTGTTTCTCCTAGTGGTTCACAATTGAACTGAATTGAGATGGTGTCGGGTGGCTAAGGAGACACCTCACCTCTCCTTCCCCATTGTGCCGCCTTTATCAATTGCCTGTTTTGTTTTGTTTGTTTTTTAACTTTCCATAATAAAATGGAGTTCTCTTCAACTCGTCTGCTTCTCCTTCTTTGGGAAAAAAAAAGGGTATGTGAGGGGAGGCTCTGGTGGCTGGGGGAGAGGAAAATGATGGGGGATGAACCAGGAACTCGGCACTGACATGTCAAAAGGGGTCTGGGAAGCTGCACGTGGGTTTCACGCAGGACAAGCAGGTGACATGAGAAAGGGCAGTTGAAGTGTCCACTAGACTGGAAGTGCCATGAGGGCTGACTACATCAGCTGGATTCACTGCAATATCCTGTACCTGTCAACTAGTAGACACGGAATTATTTCTAGAATGAATGACAACAAATGAATGAATAGAAGAAAAGGGTTAAAATATTACAGAGGACACTTTGAGTTGAAGGGTTCTAGTATTCAGAAGCCTGCTGCCATGAAGGCAGCTAGGTAGTGTATGACACAACCCATGTGGCTAATCCAGGGATACTTACTTAAAGAGCTGGGGCTACGAATACTAAATCTGAAATTGCTGCAAAATGAAGTAAGTATGTACAAGAGTCAGTTTCCTGGAAAAGGTTCCCCTCTGATAGACAATGGATTTTATATCGTTAAAGGCCTAAAGGCCGGGCACGGTGGCTCACGCCTGTGATCCCAGCACTTTGGGAGGCCGAGGCAGGCGGATCATAAGGTCAGGAGATTGAGACCATCCTGGCTAACACGGTGAAACCCCGTCTCTACTAAAAATACAAAAAATTAGCGGGGCATAGTGGTGGGCACCTGTAGTCCCAGCTACTCGGGAGGCTGAGGCAGGAGAATGGCATGAACCCGGGAGGTGGAGCTTGCAGTGAGCTGAGATTGCGCCATTACACTCCAGCCTGGGCAGCAGAGTGAGACTCCATCTCAAAAAAAAAAAAAAAGGTTTAAAAACCATCTTGATAGTGCATGGCTTTGGTGCCCATGTAGTTGATATTTGGAATTTTCCCATTTCAAAGAATATCTTATACAAATGTGGAACATCAATATTTTACTCATCAGGAAAATTTGTTTGTTTGTTGTTAGCTCTCCAGGCTAACAAAGATATGGTTGAATAGTTATAGTCCTTCTACCACTACAAGTTGCTCCTCTCAGACTGGTCAGAGGAGGCCCCACACCTTTACTATAAAACAAAATATATGAGACAAATTGAACTTAAGCATACGCCAAAGGTTTTCAATTTACTAGCAAGAGAACAAGCCAGGTGTCAAAAGACTCAGCCAGTTCAGAGAAGGTCTGGGTAGGGAAGGAAACAGAATGATTATATTAGTAGCCTGTTAGGTAAAGGTCTTAAAAAGTTTCCAGTTGTGACCCAGGAAAACAGAGTTAGGAAGCTCCGAGGTGCCAGGGGTGCTCACAGTCCATCTCAGAAACAGAAAACAATGCATTCAAGAGGTCAGGCCAGGTGTGGTGGCTCATGCCTGTAATCCTAACACTTTGGGATGCCAAGGCGGGTGGACTGCCTCATCTGAGGAGTTTGAGACCAGCCTGGGCAACATGATGAAACCCCGTCTCTACTAAAATACAAAAAATTAGCTGGACGTGGTGGCACGCACCTGTAGTCCCACCTACTCAGGAGGCTGAGGCAGGAGAATTGCTTGAACCCAGGAGGTGGAGGCTGCAGTGAGCCAAGATCACGCCACTGCATTCCAGCCTGGGCGACAGAGTGAGACTCCGAGACTCCCTTTCCAAAAAAAAAAAAAAAAAAGTCAGTGATGTAGATCCACTTGTGGCTATTAATAAGAACAATGTTTCATTTCCTAACAGTAGTGCCTGGTAACTGCAATTAATCACAAAAGTATGATGCAGGATCAAACAAATCAGACAGCAGAGCATCGAGTAACAAATTCAGCTTTTTGTTTTGTTTGTTTTTTTTTTTTGAGCATAGTCTTGGTCTGTTGCCTAGGTTGGAGTGCCTGACCTCGGCTCACTGCAACCTCTGGCTCCTGGGCTCAAGAGATTCTCCTGTCTCAGGCCCAGTGCGGTGGCTCACGCCTGTAATCCCAGCACTTTGGGAGGCCGAGACGGGCGGATCATGAGGTCAGGAGTTTGAGACCAGCCTGACCAACATGGTAAAACCCCATCTGTATTAAAAATACAAAAACTAGCTGGGCGTGATGGCATGTGCT
This sequence comes from Homo sapiens, assembly GCF_000001405.40. Lineage (NCBI taxonomy): Eukaryota > Metazoa > Chordata > Mammalia > Primates > Hominidae > Homo > Homo sapiens. Next base: position 1,930,132 of record NT_167245.2, on the reverse strand, counting down.
TGTCACACTTGTAATTCCAGCTACTCAGGAGGCTGAGGCAGGAGAATCACTTGAACCTGGGAGGCGGAAGTTGCAGTGAGCCGAGATCGTGCCATTGCACTCCAGTCTGGGCAACAGAGCGAGACTCTGTCTCCAAAAAAAAAAAAAAAAATTCTCCTGTCTCAGTCTCCAGAGTAGCTGGGACTACAGGTGCACACCTCCACACCTGGCTAATTTTTTGTAGAGATGGTGGGGTCTCACCCTGTTGCCCAGGCTGGTCTCAAACCCCTGGTCTCAAGATATCCTCCTGCCTCAGCCTCCCAAAGTGCTGGGATTACAGCAAGAGCCACTGCACCTGGCCTTGCTTACTTTTAAATAAGCAGCCACCAGTGATTTTCTCAAGCTGTTAAGCAAAAATGCAGAACACAGTTTGCCTGTTCCTTAGTTTGGAGATTTTGTCTTTAACAACTTTCCCCAGTTCCCCAGTTTCTTCCTGCCTAGAGGTCTTCCCTTATACCTGACCTGTCTTCACTCCTGCTGCAGGCAAACCAGTCCTAGCAACGGTCACTTTTTTGTTTGTTTGAGACAGAGACTTCCTCTGTTGCTCAGGCTGGAGTGCCGTGGTGGGATCTCGGCTCACTGCAAACTCTGCTTCCCATGTTCAAATGATTCTCCTGCCTCAGCCTCCCGAGTGGCTGGGACTACAGGCGCACACCACCACGCCAGGCTAATTTTTATATTTTTAGTAGAGACAGGGTTTCGCCATCTTGGCCAGGCTGGTCTCGAACTCCTGACCTCAGATAATCCGCCCGCCTTGGCCTCCCAAAGTGCTGGGATTACAGGCATGAGCCACCGCGCCCGGCCAACAATGCTAATATGTTTTATGAGCATGGACCCGATCTTCCAATCTGAAATAGAATTTCATTCCTCCCTTACTTTGTATAGTTTTTGGCTCTATAAAATTTCCATACTTTCTTTATTATGTATCCTGTCCCTCCCCCACCGCAAAATGTAAATTTGGTAAGGAACTTTTGATTTGTCCTCTGCTATATCCCAGGGACGGAAAGCAATGAGCACACATTAGGCATCCATTAAATTAATTTCACTTGTTGAATGAATGCGTGAGCGAAGCACTCACAGACTGACCATCAGGGGGCGTCAGAGAAACTGGACAGAGGCGAAATGAAGAAAAAAGAATTACCCCGAGTTTTCAGGTATGGTTCCGCGAGGTTTGAACTCGCTCGGCCACCGTAGTGCTTAGAGGCCGAAAAAGTACAGCCCCTTCCGGGCTCCGCGGTACGGGAAGACAGCTTTGGGATGTCGGAAGATCCTAGAGGTCCCAAGGTAGCTGACTTGCGAAGCTGAGGCTCCAGCCGAGGGCTCCAGGCCTCTGACCGGCCCAGCAGTGAGCGCGGCTGCCCGACGCTTCAGGGCCGGGAGCAGGGAGCGTGAGTCGCCATGGCGACGCCGGCGGGTCTGGAGCGCTGGGTTCAGGACGAGCTGCACTCGGTGTTGGGGCTGAGCGAGCGGCACGTCGCCCAGTTTCTGATCGGTACCGCACAGCGCTGCACCTCTGCCGAGGAGTTCGTGCAGCGCCTACGAGACACTGATACCTTGGATCTCAGTGGGCCGGCCCGGGACTTCGCCCTGAGACTCTGGAACAAGGTGTCGGCAGGGGTGGGGAGGGGCCCTGTGATTTGTCCCGGTGAGGCTGGCCTAACGGTCCATCGAGAAGTTAAGAAAGCTCAGTTCACAAGCACTTATTCTTTGTCCGTTGTCGCGTAGGTACTGTGCTAGCTGCTGGACGCCCAGCTCAGTGGAGAAGATTGAGGAGGGCTTAGGTGTGTCGGGTTAAGCGCAATAGAACGGTGTTTCTCGAACTCTTAACATGCATCCAAGGTTCTTGTTAAAATGCAGATTGCGATTCAGTAGGGATCTTAGTTTCTGCATTTCTTTCTTTCTTTTTTTTTTTTTTGAGAGACACAGTCTCGCTCGCCCCGTCGCCCAGGCTGGAGTGCGGTCGTAAGATCACGGCTCACTACAGCGTCGACCTCCCTGGTTGAAGCGACCCTCCCACCTCATCTTCCCCGGTAGCTGGGACTACGGGCGCGCGCCACCACCCCCGGCTAATATCTTTTATTTTTATTTTTATTTTTAGAGATGAGGCCTTGGTGTGTTGCGCAGGCTGGTCTCTAACTCCTCAGCTCAAGCAATCCTCTCTCAGCCCCCTCAGAGTGCTGAGATTACAGGCGTGAGCCACCATGCCCGGCCCCCCTCATCTTCTGAACTTCCTTTCAGTCGTTTAATTAACAGAGGGGGCCGGGTGCAGTGGCTCACACCTGTAATCCCAGCACCCCGGGAGGCTGAGGCAGGAGGATTACTTGAGCCCAGGAGTTCGAGACCAGCCTGGGCAACATGGCGAAACCTTCGTCCTACAAAAAAATTAAAAATTAGTTGAGCGTGGTAGTGTGCACCTGTGTTTCTAGCTACTTAGGAGCCTGAGGTGGGAGGATCCCTTGAGCCCAAGAGGGACAGAGTGAAACCCTGTCTGTAAAAAAAAATAAAAAACCCCATTCAGGATGATGAAGATGGGGTGAAGCCATGAGGAAGAAAGAGAATGAATGCTGGTTAGCTGGTTTAAAACTAAGTAATTGTGCCCGGGTGCGGTGGCTCATGCCTGTAATCCCAGCACTTTGGGAGGCTGAGGTGAGTGGATCATGAGGTCAGGAGTTTGAGACCAGCCTGGCCAACATGGTGAAACCTCATCTCTACTAAAAATACAAAAATAGTCGGGCGTGGTGGCATGTGCCTGTAATCTCAGCTACTTGGGAGGCTGAGGCAGGAGAATTGCTTGAACCTGGGAGGCGGAGGTTGAAGTGAGCCGAGATCACGCCATTGCCTGACAGTGGGGCCGGGCCGCGGGGGCAGGAAAGACTAAGTAATTGCTTAAATTAGGAACAGAGCTAAGTGGGAGGGCAGAGATCAGGAGTTGCTCAGACCTCCTTATCTTCCCCTCTACTGACAGGTACCACGAAAGGCAGTGGTAGAAAAGCCAGCTCGGGCAGCAGAGCGAGAGGCCCGGGCCCTGCTGGAGAAGAACCGATCTTATAGGTTACTGGAAGACAGTGAAGAGAGCAGTGAGGAGACTGTGAGTAGGGCTGGAAGCAGCCTCCAGAAGAAACGTAAAAAGCGGAAACACCTCAGGAAGAAGCGTGAGGAAGAAGAGGAGGAAGAGGCTTCTGAGAAAGGGAAGAAGAAAACAGGGTAAGTCAGAAGCAGGGTGAGAGAGGATGGGGCAGGCTGAAGTGTTCTCTATGCCCTTATTTAATCCCCTGGATGGGCTGCAGGGGGAGTAAACAGCAGACAGAGAAGCCAGAGTCGGAAGATGAGTGGGAACGGACAGAGCGTGAACGCCTTCAGGACCTGGAGGAGCGTGATGCCTTTGCTGAGCGGGTTCGACAGCGGGACAAGGATCGGACTCGAAATGTCCTGGAACGGTCAGACAAGAAGGTGAATAGGAGCAGCATGTTCTGTAAATCCCCAAGATCCCAGGGTGAAATCTGAGGTTGGCTGTGAGTGCAGAGATAGTGATCTCTGGGAAGACAAGGGGCTGTCTCTAGTGAGATGTTCACCTCTGTGGTGAGAGAAGCCCTGTGCATCCTGTGGCTAAGACAACTGTCTGCTGTACCTGCAATCAGAGAGATTCCTCACTGAGAGGGGACATTTTTTGTGTTAGGGCGCATCTGAATGATCCTTGTGATTCTAGAGGGGAGCAGCTGTCAGTGTGGGGGCTCTTTGGCCTCACACCCCTCCATTCTTGTTTTTTCTTCTAGGCTTATGAAGAGGCTCAGAAGCGCCTCAAGATGGCCGAGGAAGACCGGAAGGCCATGGTGAGTCCCAGGGCCTAGGGAGCCAAGATCAGAAGACAAAAGGAAAGACTTTCTGATAGAGTGTATAGGGAGAGAGGATACAGAGGAAGCACAGTGTGGATGCTGATGGGGTGGTCAGGTTTCTAGAAGAGGGGCTTGGTTGTTAGGAGCCAGCTGAGGATAGACTTATGTTGTTGAGGGAAGGATCCTTCTTAAGTTGTAGGGGGAAGGAGGCTACCCATAAGTCCTCCTTGACTCTTAACTTTAGGATCAAATATACTCTATTAGTGAATGAAATTGTGAGCTTTCCCTATTCCTGAGTCCTAATGAGATATGAGGCAGCTGGAATGTTGTCAAGAAGGTTGCTGGAGGGCAAGGGCAGGGCAGCAGTCCCACTGTACAGGGATGTGCTGACCATTCAGCTTAGGCACACCATCTCCAAATACCTTCCCACCACCTAATTCCTGCACCCCTTATGTGGCTTTGTGATCTCCCTGTGTCTTCTCACTGGACAGGGACAGAGCCCTTGTAATTCATAAACTGGACTTTTTATGGTGTGAAACTAGGTAGGGTAAGCTGTTTTCCAAAGGCCTGGTCTTGTCAAGTAAAGTCACACTTAGATTCCCCAATACCCCAATAGAATTTTGAGACTCTTGAAGTTCCTTTTTTTTTTTTTTTTTTTTTTTAAACCTTTTTTCTTTTTTTTGAAACGGGGTCTTGCCCTGTCACCGAGGCTGGAGTGCAATGATGCGATCTCGGCTCACTGCAACCTCCGCCTCCTGAGTAGCTGGGATTACAGGCGCACACCACCACGCCTGGCTAATTTTTTGTACCTTTAGTAGAGACGGGGTTTCACCATGTTGGCCAGGGTGGTCTCGAACCCCTGACCTTGTGATCCACCTGCTTTGGCCTCCCAGAGAGCTGGAATTACAGGCGTGAGCCACCATGCCCAGCCTTCTTTTTATTTGTTTTGTTTTATTTTTTATTTTTATTTATTTATTTTTGAGATGGAGTCTCACTCTGTTGCCAGGCTGGAGTGTGGTGGTGCGATCTCAGCTCACTACAACCTGTGCCTCCCTGGTGGAGGAATCAAGCGATTCTCCTGCCTCAGCCTCCTGAGTAGCTGGGACTACAGGCCTGCAGTACCACACTCGGCTAATTTTTTGTATTTTTAGTAGAGGAGATTTCATCATGTTGGCCAGGATGGTCTTGATCTCTTGACCTTGTGATCTGCCCGCCTTGGCCTCCCAAAGTGTTGGGATTATAGGCATGAGCCACTACGCCTGGCCGTTTTTACTTTTTAAAATTCATTTATTTATTTTTTTGAAACAGAGTTTTGCACTTGTTGCTCAGGCTGAAGTGCAGTGGCGTGATCTTGGCTCACTGCAACTTCCACCTCCCGAGTTCAAGCGATTCTCCTGCCTCAGCCTCCAGAGTAGCTGGGATTACAGGCATGAGCCACCTCGCCTGGCTAATTTTGTATTTTTAGTAGAGATGGGGTTTCTCCATGTTGGTCAGGCTGGTCTTGAACTCCTGACCTCAGGTGATCCACCTGCCTCGGCCTCCCAAAGTGCTGGGATTATAGGCGTGAGTCACCACGTGCCCGGCCAACTTTTGGAGTTCTAAGAATGGCCTACTGGTTCCCAGGTCTCTCCTGACCAATTTATCTCATATCTCTTCCTGAAATTGACTGTGGTTAGGCTTCTGGGACATCTCAGTGCAGTTGTGGTGGTAGTGGTGTTACTGTTTTGGCCTGAATTTAATTTTTCGGGTTTTTTTTGAGACAGAATCTCATTCTGTCGCCCAGGCTGGAGTGCAGTGGCATGATCTCGGCTCACTGCAACCTCCGCCTCCCGGGTTCAAGTGATTCTCCTGCCTCAACCTCCCGAGCAGCTGGGACTACAGACATGCACTAGCATGCCTGGCTGATTTTTGTATGTTTAGTAGAGATAGGGTTTCACCATGTTGGCCAGTCTGATCTCAAACTCCTGACCTTTGGCGATCCACCCCCCTCGGTCTCCCAAAATGTTAAGATTACAGGCGTGAGCCACTGTGCCCAGCTGTAATTTTTCTTTTTCGATTACAAAAATATTTAAGCACATAGGGAAGTTGAAAGAATAGAACAAAGAACACTCATAGACACTATTCAGATTGAAAAATGGTTAATACTATGGGTAGTATTTGCATTGTAATTGTAAATGTGGTATGTTTTTTCTTTTCAGACCATTTAAAAGAGTCTTAGACATCATGGCGTTTTATCTCTAAGTACATCAGTGTGTACCTGCTAAGGATAAAGATATTGTCCTCTAAAATCAGAATGCTCTTGTCACAGTCAGGAAGTTGAACAGTAATTCTTATGTATCGACTAAGATCTCTCTACAATAAAAGATACCCTCATTACCCTCAAAATAACTTTAATGACTGCTTTTTCCTAACAAGAATGCAGTCAAGGTTCATGCATTGCATTTGGGTCTTAGATGTTAAGTTTGTTTCTCTCTCTGTCTGTCTCACCTTGCAGTGTCCTACATTCTGGATTTGCCTGATTCTTATCTTGTGGTGTTAAGTACTTCTCTGCCCTGTGCTTTCTTTGAAGCAGGAATTGGGTCTAAAGCTTATTGACACTCAGATTAAACAGTTGTGGCAGGAACACTTCTTGGGCGGTGATGTGCACTTCATATTATGTCATATCACGGGGACATACTATCCAGTTGTGTATCTATATATTAGTATTAATATCCTTTCTACCAATAGCCTTTCATCAAATGCTTTTAGAAGCCACTGGTAATCCTTTCCTGAACATGTTATTTTTATTGGGGATTGCAAAATGGTGATTTTTTTTTTTTTTTTTTGAGACAGAGTCTCGCTCTGTCGCCCAGGCTGGAGTGCAACGGTGCGATCTCGGCTCACTGCAAGCTCTGCCTTCCGGGTTCATGCCATTCTCCTGCCTCAGCCTCCTGAGCAGCTAGAACTACAGGCGCCTGCTGCCACGCCCGGCTAATTTTTTGTATTTTTAGTAGAGATGGGGTCTCACCATGTTAGCCAGGATGGTCTCGATCTCCTGACTTCGTGATCCTCTTGCCTCAGCCTCCCAAAGTGCTGGGATTACAGGCGTGAGCCACCGCGCCCGGCCGAAATGGTGATTTTTTGATTCTGTCATTCCTGTTACGTGTATTGGCTAGAATTTGTCTATAAAGAAGAGCTTTTCCTCAACAACTAGGAACAAGCTACAGTTCCTTCTTAAAAAGGGTAAATGTTTGTTTCCTTTTAAATACGAATTTTTAGAGTAAGGCGTTTGCTGTAACAGTCATTTCACTGGTGACAGATTTTTTTCCCTTGTTTTTTGTTTGTGTGTGTCAAATTGGACTCATGAATTTTTATTTTTCAGTATTTTATAATCTCACATCATTATTCTTTTTAATGCTCAAATGGCTCTGATTTTTTGCCCATATTAAAAAAAAAATCTATCTGGCTCTTCCATGGAAGGAATATTTGACTGTGGTACCCAGATTAGGTCATGATCATAAACTGCATTTTAAGTCTTTACAGAACAAACAAGAAAAGCCAAACAACTAAATAGAACCAGGCCCCTTAAGGGTAGAACAGCAGAGGGGCTTTTTTTTTAAAGATGCAGTTTTGTTCTTGTTGCTCAGGCTGGAGTGCAATGGCGTGAGCTAAGCTCACTGCAACCTCCGTCTCCCGGGTTCAAATGATTCTCCTGCCTCAGCCTCCCGAGTAGCTGGGATTACAGGTGCCCACTACCATGCCCAGCTAATTTTTGTATTTTCAGTAGAGACGGGATTTCACCATGTTGGCCAGGCTGGTCTCTAACTCCTGACCTTAGGTGATCCACCCACCTCAGCCTTTCAAAGTGCTGGGATTACAGGTGTGAGTCACCACGCCCACCCAGCCACCAGAGGGGCTTTGACCTTGCAGTAGAGGAAGTTGTGATCACAGAGAGGATGATGTCATAGTGGGAGGACTCCTGGCAGGAAAGGGCCTTATAGATATTGCCAGTTTTCTGCTGTCATCCATAATGTGTCCTGAAAAGTTTGTATCAAAGGTAAATGTGTAGAAACTAAGTGAGACACAGCATGGTGAAGAGAGGTTAGTACCAGAAAGCCAAACATCCCTGATTACATTTGCCTTACAGAAACACTCTGATGCTGTAGTCCTAACTTTTTATAATCAGTTTTTCTCCCTTCCTCAAACTACAGTCATTCCGTTTAAGACCAAAGAACATCTAACTGGGGCTGAAGATTGCCTCCTGTTGGCCCCCTCACTGGTTTCTATCTTTGTCTGAATTGTTTTCGGTTTGAGTCCTGTGCTTCTAAATGCTGGATTAGCCTTTTATTTTCCCCCTTTCCACTAATTTGAATAAAATGGCAAGAGTAAAATATAAGCTACGCAGACATCTCCCTAGTGCATCTATATTAACAAAGATGATAATGCTGCCTAAGAGGACTTTCCAGCTGGATTCTGCTGCAGGAAGATACGATGTGGGGTCAGCATGTAGCATCCAAAGAGGCCCAGATTTGAGTATGTCATTGTTTTGGTTGTGCATTGCAGAGGGAAGGTAGAGGGTGCATCCTGAGGTTCTCATGCCTGCCTGTCAGGGGATTTTTCCCTTGTAGGGATTGGTAGAGAAAGGGGTTGCTCCTCCAGCAAGATGAGGATTCGACTGTCCTTTCCCAACTCAGGTCCCTGAGCTGCGGAAGAAATCTCGCCGAGAGTACCTGGCTAAGCGGGAGCGAGAGAAGCTTGAGGACCTGGAGGCGGAGCTGGCTGATGAGGAGTTCCTTTTTGGGGACGTGGAGCTGAGCCGGCACGAGCGGCAGGAGCTCAAATATAAGCGGCGAGTGCGGGATCTCGCCCGGGAGTACCGGGCAGCTGGGGAGCAGGAGAAGCTGGAGGCCACCAATCGCTACCACATGCCCAAGGAAACCCGAGGACAGGTGAGGTGAAGCGGCGTCTGCTTCAGCCTTGGTCCCCAAGACAAGTTGTGGGGAAGGCTTCAGGGGATTGGGCAACACGTGGGTCATCCCCTTTCTTGCCTTGCCGTTCCCAATGGGCAGTGGGCGGGGGTAGTAATGGGAAGAGGGGAGAGGGCAGAGAGGACATCCTGTTTTTGAGTCTTCACATATCCCCTCTCTCTGTAGCCAGCCCGAGCTGTGGATCTAGTGGAGGAGGAATCAGGAGCCCCTGGGGAGGAGCAGCGGCGCTGGGAGGAGGCGCGGCTTGGGGCAGCGTCCCTGAAGTTTGGGGCCCGAGATGCTGCCTCTCAGGAGCCCAAGTATCAACTGGTGCTGGAGGAGGAGGAGACCATTGAGTTTGTCCGGGCCACTCAGCTCCAGGGTGATGAGGTAAGAGGGGAGCTGGGAGACTTTCTGAGGAAGACCCGTAGCGAGCTATTTAGCTCACACCTCCTTCTCTTTCCTTAGGAGCCGTCAGCTCCACCCACTTCAACTCAGGCCCAGCAGAAAGAGTCCATCCAGGCCGTCCGCCGCAGCCTCCCGGTGTTCCCATTTCGAGAGGAGCTCCTGGCTGCTATTGCAAATCACCAAGTCCTCATCATTGAAGGCGAGACAGGCTCAGGGAAGACCACCCAGATCCCGCAGTATCTCTTTGAGGAGGTACAGTCATCTCACCCTTCAGCTTGCCAGGGCACCTGGCATCAATGTCCTCATTCCTGTCAGAGCTCCTTTTACATTATATTTTTAGTAGTCACTTACCTATCTTTTCCACTAAATTGTGAAATTCTTGAGAGTAAAGACCATACCCTTTTCACATTTCTGTTCTCACTTCCTGCATTCATTTCATTTGGAAGGACGGGTAGATGGATAGGTGGAGTGGGGCGTGTATAAATGTGGACCTCCCTATGCTCCAACGTGGCCAAAAAACAAGGAGTTAAAGGACTATTTTCCTGCCTTTTTGTTAGTTTTTTTTTTTTTTTTTTGGAGACGGAGTCTTGCTCTGTCACCCAGGCTGGAGTGCAGTGGTGCGATCTTGGCTTACTGCAACCTCTGACTCCTGGGTTCAAGGAATTCTCCTGCGTCAGCCTTCAGAGTAGCTGGAATTACAGGCATGCGCCACCACACCTGGCTAATTTTTTAGTAGAGATGGGGTTTCACCATGTTGGCCAGGCTGCTCTCGAACTCCTGACCTCAAGTGATCCAGCCACCTCAGCCTCCCAAAGTGCTGGGATTACAGGTGTGAGCCACTGTGCCTAGCCCCTGCCTTATTTTGGAGACAGGCTCTTGCTCTGATGCCCAAGCTGGAGTGATGTGGCACCATCATGACTCACTGCAACCTGGGACTCCTGGGCTCAAGAGATCATCCCACCTCAGCCTCCTGAGTATCTGGGAGGTGCACACCACCATGCCCATATTAAACATTTTTTGTTTTTTTTTGAGGTGGAGTCTTGCTCTGTCACCAGGCTGGAGTGCAGTGGCGCGATCTTGACTCACTGCAACCTCCACCTCCTGGGTTCAAGTGATTCTCCTGCCTCAGCCTCCTAAGTAGCTGGGACTACAGGTGCGTACCACCACACCCAGCTAATTTTTGTATTTTTAGTAGAGATGGGGTTTCACCATGTTGGCCAGGATGGTCTCAATCTCCTGACCTCGTGATCTGCCCACCTCAGCCTCCCAAAGTGCTGGAGTTACAGGTGTTAGCCACTGTGCCTGGCCTGAAATTTTTTTTTTTTTTTTTTTGAGACAGAGTCTTGCTCTGTTGCCCAGGCTGGAGTGCGGTGGCATGATCTTGGCTTACTGCAACCTCTGTCTCCCAGGTTCAAGCGACTCTCCTGCCTCAGCCTCCCAAGTAGCTGGAAATACAGGCATGCACCACCATGCTCGGCTAATTTTTTGTATTTTTAGTAGACGGGGTTTCACCATTTTGGCCAGGCTGGTCTCGAACTCCCAACCTCAGGAGATCCGTCTGCCTCGGCCTCCCAAAGTGCTGGAATTGCAGGTGTGAGCCACTGTGCCTGGTCAAAATTTTGAATTTTTAATTTTTTTGTCACACTATGTTGCCCAGGCTGGTCTCGAACTCCTGAGCTCAAGCCATCCTCCCACCTCAGCCTCCCAAAGTACTAGGATTACAGGCATGAGCCACTGTGCCCAGCCTTCCTGCTTTTTTACCTTAGCTGGCTCTGTCTCAGCTAATCTGTTCTTTTCCAGCTCAAGTCTAGCAGAGTCATGAACTTAATTACCCAGAGCTGGGTGAGGACCCCCTTTGAGGGCCCTAGGTCTGTCATCCTATCTATTTGCCCTTCTTTTCTGGTTTTCAGCATCTGTCTTTTCCTCCTTTTCTCCTGCCTGGTTTTTACAACTTCTTTCTCTGAAATGTACCTGGTCCCAGGGTGCATATTTAGTAAAGGGCAAACTTCTTCTTTTTTCTTTGTCATTCAGGGTTATACAAACAAGGGTATGAAGATTGCCTGCACCCAACCCCGGAGAGTGGCTGCCATGAGTGTGGCCGCCCGAGTGGCCCGGGAGATGGGTGTGAAGCTTGGGAATGAGGTGAGATTTCTAGGGAACCGGGGGGTAGAGTCTGGGGTCTGTGACTCAGTCTACAGTTCCCTCAGGTCCCTACAGCAGAAGTCTTGGTGCTGCCCCACTTCACCTTTCCCCAAGTTCCTTTCAGGGCACACCAGCCCACACTTGGTTGCTAATGGTTCCCTTGACCAGGTTGGCTACAGCATCCGCTTTGAGGACTGCACATCAGAGCGAACTGTCCTCCGCTACATGACAGATGGGATGCTTCTCCGGGAGTTCCTCTCTGAGCCTGACCTGGCGAGTTACAGGTATCTCTAATCTCTGGCCTTTCTCTCCCTTCTTCCCACCCAGCCAATTCAGCCATTGTCTTCTGATTAATCCACCCGTTCTTGAATCTTTGTGGTTCAAATGGTCCTTGAACTGACCTCCAGGTACCACGGAGATGGGGCTGGAGGACAGAAGAGATTGTAGAGAAAGCCTCTTCTTTCCCCATTCATCTCCAGGGTTTAGAAAACAACCAGGATAGCAGAGCATTGCTGCCGAGACTTGAAATACCGTGTGAAGACCATTTGAAAACACTTGGAATGCTCAGCTCAGAGGGAGAAACAGGAAGCATCCTGGTTCCCTCTAAATATGTGAAGGCTGTTACATGGAAAGAAGGATCAGATTGTTTTATGTGACCCTACACGACATAGCTAGGAGCCATGGGGAGGTTACAGGGAGACAGATTCCAACTCAATACCAATGGCTGAGTAACCCTCAGAGTGGTGGAGATTGCAGGGCCTGTCAGAGTGGTTGGACTCTGGGTCTTGGCCCTCCACACAAGTCTTGGGTAGCTTGGTCTGTGAATAATGAGCTCTTAGTGCTGGAAATGGCCAAGCAGGGGTTGGTTGAACATGTGTTGAGGGGGAAAAGGGATTCATGAATGTAATGGGGGTGGGGTCAGGCCAGCTGAACAATATGTGCCTTTTTGACTCTTCAGAGGCTGTGAATTTCTGGTCTTGGAAGATCACAGTGGAGCAATTGGACAGATAGGATTTTATCCTTCATATCCCTTGCAAAAGATCTCTAAGAACCCATGGAGAGCCAGCCAGCGCAAGAGTGTCTGATGCAGATGTTTTTGCCCATCGAGCCAGCCTGCTTTGTGGAATGGCTGGGGACTTCACCATCACAGTTAGGGTTAGGCACAAAGAGTTGAGGTCAGGGAGGTGGGTAGGGGAAGATGGGGATGAGTTCCTGGGACTTGGCTGCCACCCAGAAAAGCCAAAGAACAAAGAGAAAGAAGGTGTCATGCACATAACTGAGTTAGGAGGAAACCAAGGAGCATGCAGAGTCCTGTGAGAGTTGAGGTAGAAAGGCTTAACTTGCTCCTGTCTCCAAAAGAAGAAACAGTCAAGAATGATGCCAGCAGCAGTTGTCCCACAGGACACCAGGAGCTTCTAGGCTATTTGAATCACAGCAGCTCAGGTCTATTACCCCCAGTCAGCCTTGCTGGCCCACCCTTATTGAAAGGGACCCTGCCTTCCACTTTTTTTTTCCTTTAAAACGTATCAGCCGGGAGCGGTGGCTCACGCCTGTAATCCCAGCACTTTGGGAGGCAGAGGCAGGCGGATCACGAGGTAAGGAGATCAAGACCATCCTGGCTAACACGGTGAAACCCCGTCTCTACTAAAAAATATAAAAAATTAGCTGGGCGTGGTGGCGGGCACCTGTAGTCCCAGCTACTCAGGAGGCTGAGGCAGGAGAATGGCGTGAACGCAACCCAGGAGGCGGAGCTTGCGGTGAGCCGAGATCGTGCCACTGTACTCCAGCCTGGGCGACAGAGTGAGACTCTGTTTCAAAACTCCGTCTCTACTAAAAATACAAAAAATTAGCCAGGCACAGTGGCAGGCACCTGTAGTCCCAGCTACTTGGGAGGCTGAGGCAGGAGAATGGTGTGAACCCAGGAGGCGGAGCTTGCAGTGAGCTGAGATCATGCCACTACACTCCAGCCTGCAACAGAGCAAGACTGTCTCAAAAAAAAAATCCTTCCACTTTTTCTTTTTTCTTTTTTTAGATGGAGTCTCGCTCTGTCACCCAGGCTGGAGTGCAGTGGCACGATCTTGGCTCACTGCAACCTCTGCCTCCCAGGTTCAAGCGATTCTCCTGCCTCAGCCTCCCAAGTAGCTGGGACTACAGGCGTCTACCACCACATCTGGCTAATTTTTTTTGTATTTTTAGAAGAGACGGGGTTTCACTGTATTGGCCAGACTGGTCTCGAACTCCTGACCTTGTGATCCACCTGCCTCGGCCTCCCAAGGTGCTGGGATTACAGGCGTGAGCTACCACCATGCCCAGCCTAAAACATATCCTTCAACTTTTTCTAGTAAGAGCAGCTGCTGAGTCTAAGCAGACTCTTGACTGAACTAGAGGGTATGGCTAACTTGTCCTGGCCTCAGTGTGCAGCCTCTACATCTTGTTTCCTATTATCTGCTGAGGCTGGGATAGGTTGCAGATCATGGGGCCCTGGCCTTCTCTGACTTTCTGTTGCTCTACATAAGTGGGATGGCTGACTTCTCCTTAGAGCCCCCTCCGTCAACAGTCATTCTTGAACTCTTTGTGTCCATTACTCCCCTCTCATCCAGTTAACCCTGGTGTCTGATACTGCATTGCCTAGCGCTCTTCCCTCATTGCTCTCCTATTCCCTCCCCAGCGTGGTGATGGTGGATGAGGCACACGAAAGGACCCTACACACAGACATTCTCTTTGGATTGATCAAGGATGTTGCTCGCTTCCGACCTGAGCTCAAGGTCCTGGTGGCTTCAGCCACAATGGACACTGCCCGTTTTTCCACCTTCTTTGATGACGCCCCTGTGTTTCGAATCCCCGGACGCAGGTTTCCTGTGGACATCTTCTACACCAAGGTGCCCCCTCAGGGAGGATGGGCTTAAGTCTGTGGCAGAAAAGCTGAGGCCTTTGGAGAAGGTTATCCTGTGGAGGGAAAGATGGAATGGAAGGTTCAAAGGGGAACTAGGATAAAGTGTATGTTGAATTGGGAGGAGAGGAAAGGTTTGCCTAAGCAGGTGGCCCTCCTGTGACCCCATCTCTTTCTGCTCTCCAGGCTCCAGAGGCTGACTACTTGGAAGCTTGTGTAGTATCTGTGTTGCAGATCCATGTGACCCAGCCCCCTGGGGATATCCTGGTGTTCCTGACAGGACAGGTGCCTGACATGGTGGGGAGAGGGGATGATGTATCCCAGGGGAAGACAGGGCCGGCATGTTGGCCTTCTGTGACTCTGGGACCCCTGCTGCTCTCCCTACCCTCTATCCAGGAGGAGATTGAGGCTGCCTGTGAGATGCTCCAGGATCGCTGCCGCCGCCTGGGCTCCAAAATCCGGGAGCTCCTGGTGCTGCCCATTTATGCCAATCTGCCCTCTGACATGCAGGCCCGTATCTTCCAGCCCACACCACCTGGGGCACGAAAGGTCAGTTGGAGAAACCCACACTCTTCACCCCTGTGCTTCCCACAACTAGTAGTGAAAAAGCTGTGTGCCTGCCCCATGCAAGGTGAGTCCTGCGCACTGCTGCACACAGCTGAGGAGCAGCCAGTCCCTTGTTCCTGGGACTGAAGAGAGGAGAAATATGGTGTGAACCAAGAGAGAGCCAAATATGTGATCTGGAAAGTATGCACAGTAGATTCAGTGGAGAAGGGAAGTCCTTGATGTGCTAAGAGGTGGGATTTGATATGGACCTTTAAGAGAAATGTCTGAGGTCAGGTGCGGTGGCTCACGCCTGTAATCCCAGGACTTTCGGAGGCTGAGGTGGGCGGATCACTTGAGGTCAGTAGTTCGAAACCAGGCTGCCTAACGTGGTGAAACCCTGCCTCCACTGAAAATACAAAAATCAGCAGGGCATGGTGGCGTGCGCCTATAATCCCACCTGTTTAGGAGGCTGAGTCATGAGAATCGCTTGAACCCAGGAGGAGGAGGTTGCAGTGAGCTGAGATTGTGCCACTGCACTCCAGCCTGGGTGACAATGCGAGACTCCATCTCAAAAAAGAAAAATGGCTGAGAAGTCATCAGAGGAAGGCCCAAGGTATGTTTGAGGTCAGAGTGTGAGCTAGTAGGCTTAGTGGGAGGTTCATGTGGTGAAGGAGTAGGAGACAAGGCTAAAAACAATTTGGGGCTAAGATTAGGGAGGGCCTTTGATGACAGGAAAGTTTGGACTTTATTTATTTTTCTTTTTTGAGACAGAGTCTCGCTCTGTTGCCCAGGCTGGAGTGCAGTGGCAAGATCTCGGCTCACTGCAGCCTCCACCTCCCAGGCTCAAGTGATTCTTGTGCCTCAGCTTCCCAAGTAGCTGGGATTACAGGTGTGTACCACCACCCCAAGCTAATTTTTTTTTTTTTTTTTTTGAGATGGAGTCTCACTCTGTCGCCCAGGCTGGAGTGCAGTGGCACCAACTCTGCTCACTGCAACCTCTGCCTCACAGGTTCAAGCGATTCTCCTGTCTCAGCCCCCCAGTAGCTGGGATTACAGGTGCCCTCCACCACGCCTGGCCAATTTTTTGTATTTTTAGTAGAGATGAGGTTTCGCTATTTTGGCCAGGTTGGTCTCAAACTCCTGACCTCAGGTGATCTGCCCACCTTGGCCTCCCAAAGTGCTGGGATTATAGGCGTGAGCCACCATGCCTGGCCAACACCCAGCTAATTTTTAGTAGAGATGGGGTTTCGCCATGTTGGCCAGGCTGGTCTTGAACTCCTGGACTCAAGTGATCCGCCTGCCTTGGCCTCTCAAAGTGCTGGGTTACAGGCATGAGCCACTGTGCTTGGCGAAGTTTGGACTTTAGACAGCTGAGTAGCAGTCAAAGGATTTTGAGCAGAGATATAACTTTCATTCAACAAATATTTAATGAGTTCCTTCTGTGTGTCAGGTACACAGGGGTTGATGATACAGTGATGAACAAAACAAAGTCCTTAGCCTAACAAACTTGCACTTGTGGTCTATCGGGGAAGCAGTGGATGCATAAATACATATTGTCAATTTGTGGCCAGTGCTATGAAGAGATACAAGGCAGCATAGTAGGATGGAACTTGACTCTGTGGGGTGGGAGTGAGGACTGGCATGAAGGTATTTTCCTTGGGGTGTAGGGAGGGCCTCTTCAGTAAGGGGAAAGTGGAATAGAGACCCAAACCAGGTGAGGGAGGGAGCCAGGCTGATATCTGGGAGAAGAGTATGCCAGACAGAGGGAATAGCTGATGCAAATGATCCAGTGAGGAGTGCACTTACTTGGGCAGAGCAAAGCAGTGTGTGGGAGGAGTGAGGGAGGTGGTGGAGTGCTAGCAGATGAGGTCAGAAAGGCAGCTGGGGTAGGTGATCCAGGCTTTTAAGGGGCTTGGATTGAATTCTAGAGTAGGATAGGAAGCCACTGAAGGATGGGGAGTGATGTGACAGGTTTGTATTTTAAAAGGACCATCCTGGATGCCATGTGACAGAGGCTAGGAGCAGAAGCAGGGATACACGTTAGGAGGCTCTTACAGGAAGTGTTGTGTGAAGACGAAAGCGGTGATGGGGAGGATCGGGCAGGAACTTGAACACCCCCATTTCCCATCTCTGAAAAAAAAAAAAAACCCTAAATCCTCTTCTCCATTTCCTTTCCTCCTATGGCCCTGCTGACTCCCAGCCCCCACTTCCCTGTCCCCTGTCTTCTGGCCTTGTCCCCTGCTCCTGACCTTGGATACTACTAATTCCCTCAGCTCCTGCCCCTTACTGCAACTGCTTCACTACTCCTAACTTTCCAAGATTACTTTTTCTGGGTAACTAGGTAGGTGGGGTCACTGGGTGACCCCATATCCTATCACTCAGGTGGTTGTGGCAACGAACATTGCTGAGACATCACTCACCATTGAGGGCATCATTTATGTGCTGGATCCAGGGTTCTGTAAGCAGAAGAGCTACAACCCCCGCACAGGCATGGAATCGCTCACTGTCACACCCTGCAGCAAGGTCAGCCTGGGGATGCATGGGAGTGGGGGAGGTGGAGTTGGCCCACAGAGAAGGTCCAACTCAGAAGCAGGGTGGGGGCTTCCTAGGGAACCGGGATGAGCAGTTTGCATCCTTCCAGATTTCTTGCATAAATACTGCCTTTTTCTTTTCCCTGACCAAATTGTCAGCCAGCCTGTTCCCCTTTCTTTCCAGGCCTCAGCCAATCAGCGAGCTGGCAGGGCAGGTCGGGTGGCTGCAGGGAAGTGCTTCCGCCTGTATACCGCCTGGGCCTATCAGCACGAGCTTGAGGAAACCACAGTGCCTGAGATCCAGAGGACCAGCTTGGGCAATGTCGTGTTGCTGCTCAAGAGCTTAGGTGATTGGGCTACCTGAGAGAGGAGGGAGGGGCTGGAGTCACTGTCCTTTGAAGGGACTCTGTTCCATCCATCACACCTCTTTCTAGGGATCCATGACCTAATGCACTTTGATTTCCTGGACCCTCCACCATATGAGACACTGCTGCTGGCTTTGGAGCAGCTGTATGCTCTGGGAGCCCTCAACCACCTTGGGGAGCTCACCACGGTGAGTCGGGGGACAGCATGGGTGGAGGCAGGATGATAGGGGTCAGGATGGCTCCAGGGACCCCTGTAGTAGTAGCGGGAAACCTGAGGGAGGACTGGGCTCAACTCTCTCTCTCTTCTCCTTAGTCTGGTCGAAAGATGGCAGAGCTGCCGGTGGACCCCATGCTGTCCAAAATGATCTTAGCCTCTGAGAAGTAAGCCCTCGCCTCCACCTGGGCCCCCAGCACACAAACAGGCCAGGCCTCCTCTGTCTCCAGGGTCCCCTTTGTCTGTCTTTTTCTGTTCATCATACTATCCCTTAACACATAATAAAGTATTAGATAACTCTGATTGCCCCCTTTTGAGGCCCACAAGGGTAAGACACTTGATCCTATCCTTGATTCCACTGCGCCCGGCCCCTTGAGGAACTTACTTGTTCCTAAGGTTTCCAACTAGAACATTTAGATGTAGCTGTGGAGGGATGACCTTTAAATGCCATTCCTCTGCTGTCAGAGATCTTTTCCAAATGCACATAGTGAATGCACACTTTCTGCAGAAGCCTCAGAATTCCCCGGTGTTTCCTGCTCCTGCCTCCATGGATGTCCCTCCTTTGTGACTGTGTTTCATCTATGGCCCCTACTTCCTTGACCCCCAAGCTGCTGCCAGAATCTATCTGCTGGCTGCTTTGTAGCCATTATGCCAACCAGCCTTCCCCACATGAGGAAACATCCATCACACAGTGATCACTCCCCACTCCACCATATCTGTTCCTATGTGTCTTGCTTTGAACTCATGCTTTCCCCTTCCTGTCCCAGGTACAGCTGTTCAGAGGAGATCCTGACAGTGGCTGCCATGCTCTCTGTCAACAACTCCATCTTCTACCGACCAAAGGACAAGGTCGTCCATGCTGACAATGCCCGTGTCAACTTCTTTCTCCCTGGCGGTGACCACCTGGTTCTGCTAAATGTTTACACACAGGTCACTGGGCTTGGGTGAGTGGGAATGAGAGACACTGGGGGACTTTAGTCCTGCTGTATACTTAATTATCTCTCCTTTCTTTTTAACTGTCTTCCCAGTGGGCTGAGAGTGGTTACTCTTCCCAGTGGTGCTATGAGAACTTTGTACAGTTCAGATCGATGCGCCGAGCCCGGGATGTGCGGGAACAGCTGGAAGGGCTCTTGGAACGTGTGGAAGTTGGTCTCAGTTCCTGCCAGGGGGACTATATCCGTGTACGCAAGGTCAGCATTTCTTCAGCCTCCTGCTTTCCACCCCCAGTACCTTCCCAGGAGCAAGCTTCTCTGGGGGCATGCAGCATTTCCTCCAGCGTGAGAGCATGCCCTCTTCCCCTTGTGTATGACGTGTCCTCCCAGGGCCCTTTCTTCCCCAGACCACTGAAGGTTCATTCCTGGGAAGTTCTTCATGCATTCCTTACCTCTCTAGTTTTCCTGAAGCCTGAACTAAAAAGGTAGTGCATTCTTAGGGTCCCCAGATGTCTGCCTTTTCCATTGATTTTCTTTCCTGCCCGCTCCTTAGGCCATCACTGCTGGTTACTTTTACCACACGGCACGGTTGACTCGGAGTGGCTACCGCACAGTGAAACAGCAGCAGACAGTCTTCATTCATCCCAACTCCTCCCTCTTTGAGCAACAGCCACGCTGGCTGCTCTACCACGAACTTGTCTTGACCACCAAAGAGTTCATGAGACAGGTGAGGAGAACATCCTGTGCCCACGCAGGTGGAGACTATGTAGAGAGATGGTGTCCTGGCAAGCTAAGAACCCAGGTTCAAGTTGCTGGGACTGGTACAGAAAGAGGAAGGTAGGGTAAAATAGAAAGACATCCTTTGTTTTTTTTTGTTTTTTTTGAGACGGAGTCTCACTCTGTTGTCCAGGCTGGAGTGCAGTGGCGCAATCTAGCCTCACTGCAACCTCTGCCTCTGGGGTTCAAGAGATTCTCATGCCTCAGCCTCCCAAGTAGCTGAGATTACAGGCGCAAGCCTCCAGGCCTGGCTAATTTTTGTTATTTTTAGTAGAGATGAGGTTTCACCATGTTGGCCAGGCTGGTCTCAAATGCCTGCCTCGGCCTCCCAAAGTGCAGGGATTACAGGTGTGAGCCACCATGCCCAGCCCAAAGACATCCTTTCTAACAGGTGTGTCAGCATCTTCCAAGATCTGAGAACTAGACACTTATTCAATAAATATTTGAATGGCTACTGTATAGGTGCTGGGGCTATAATGAACAAAGCAGTCTCTGGTCTCACAGAGTATAGTCTTTATGTTCTAGGCTTTTCTTTTTTTTGAGAGAGTTCCGTGCTGTTGTAGCCCAGGCTGGAGTGCAGTGGCACCATCTCAGCTCATGCAACCTCCGCCTTCGGTTTCAAGTGATTCCCCTGCCTCAGCCTCCAGTGTAGCTGGGATTACAGGTGCCCACCACCACGCCCAGCTAATTTTATATTTTTAGTAGAGACTGGGTTTCACCATGTTGGCCAGGCTGATCTCGAACTCCTGACCTCATGATCCGCCTGCCACGGCCTCCCAAAGTGTTGGGATTACAGGTGTGAGCCACTGTGCCTGGCATGTTGTTCTAGACTTTTCTTGGGAATAGCTTATTTGGTATCTTGAATAACATACAGAGGTGTATCTGCCCTTTGGGTATATAATAATAGAGCCAGGCACCTTTACACCTAGCCCTGCAGTCAAAGAGGAAAGATAACTTTTGACCATACACATAAGGATCTAGGTTGGGGCTGGGCATAGTGGCTCATTTTTGTAAACCATCCCAGCACTTTGGGAGGCCAAGGCAGGATCCTAGCACTTTGGGAGGCCAAGATCAGCCCAGGCAACATAGTGAGACCCCAACTATACAAAAAATTAATGGTGCACTGTGATGTGTGCCTGTAGTCTCAGCTACTTGGGAGGCTGAGGCAGTAGGACTGCTTTGAGCCATGATACGCCACTGCAGTCCAGCCTGGGCAATAGAGCAAGACTCTGTTTCAATTTAAGAAAAAAAAATAACAACAACAAAAGATCTATGTTGGAAAGAAGGGAACTCCATTGATCTTTTCTCTCTCCTAGGTACTGGAGATTGAGAGCAGTTGGCTTCTGGAGGTGGCTCCCCATTATTATAAGGCCAAGGAGCTAGAAGATCCCCATGCTAAGAAAATGCCCAAAAAAATAGGCAAAACACGAGAAGAGCTAGGGTAAGAGAAGGACGTAAACAGAACCTGACACCAGCTCCTTTTCCTTCTATACATTATTTAATACCTATTAAATAAAATTATTTTTGGAATAAAGCTTGTGGGAACATTTGGGATCTAGAGAAAGTGATATGTGAAATTCTATCTCATATAGTCAGTTAAACTTTATTATTTACAAGTTAAATTACACAGCAGCTTTACACAGCATGAGATGGAAAGGAAGGAAGGAGAGAAACGAGGAGAGGAAGCTGGCTCCTGAGATTCTTGGCTGCCTCCACCTCCTTCTCTTGGGCGTAGCAGTCTTCAGTGCTGCCTCCACTCCAAGGTCAAGGATCAGGGCTTGGAACACAGGTTTAAGTCAGGTTCTGGCTCTGACAGCCCCAGGGCCACCAGGGCTCCCACTAGCAGCTTCTTCACAGGCGTTGGAGGTGAGTGTGAAGGCATCAGCTGCAGGGAGAAAGGTTAATGCCAGTTGGGGGAGGCACACAAATGTTCTACCCTTTACCCCACCCAGCCCTACCTAGGACTCACTTTATCTAGACGATGGCGACAAATGAGGCCACTGGAATTCAGGTAGAAAGTGGAGTAGGCATCATAGGTCCTGGGGAATAGAGGGAGGCTTACTGAGGGAGAAGGTGACTGGTCCCAAAGCTGAATTCAAGCATTTGTTTAAACGAGTAGTCCCTAAATTCTGCTACATATTAGATCACCTGGGCAACTTACAAACATCTCAGTGCTTAGGTTGTGCCCTGTCTCAATTAAATCAGAGTGTTTGGCGTCAATATTTTTTAACGATCCTTGGGCATTTCTACTGTGCAGCAGTTTGGGAACTGCTGGTTTAAAAACTTATATCCAATGTTTGTGGCTGAGTCTAACAATTTATTGGGATTCTACTCCCAGGCGGAAATTTACCAGGTTGTAAGGCTCAACATATGAGACAGGACTTTTCATTTGTTCAGTACTTTTGTGTGTGTGTGTGTGTGTGTGTGTGTGTGTGTGTGTGACAGGGTTTCACTCTGTCACCCAGGCTGGAGTCCAGTAATGTGATCACGGCTCACTGCAACCTCAACCTCCCAGGTTGAAGTGATTCTCTCATCTCAGCCTCCCAAGTAGCTGGAACTACAGGTGTGTACCACCACACTGGGCTAATTTTTGTATTTTTTTGGGTTTTACCATGTTGGCCAGGCAGGTCTCCAACTCCTTACCTCAAGTGATCCGCCCACCTCGGCCTCCCAAAGTGCTGGCATTACAGGCATGAGCCACCACACCCAGTCTGTTCAGTAAGTATTTGAGTACCTACCATGTGCTAGGCACTGTATAGGAAGAAACTGAAGCTCAGAGGTTTTTCTAATATACCCAGTCTCTATTTTTTTTTTAACATTAACATAAACTAAACAGGATCCCTGTCCTTAAACAGTCAAGTGAGGATAGGTCAAGGGTTGTCTGGGAGACTAGATCATCTGTAATCTCAGCACTTTGGGAAGCTAAGGCAGGTGGATCACCTAAGGTGAGGAGTTCGAGACCAGCCTGGCCAACATGGTGAAACCCTCTGTCTACTAAAAATACAAAAATTAGCCGGGTGTGATGGTGTGCCTGTAATTCCAGCTACCCAGGAGGCTGAGGCTGGAGAATTGCTGGAAGCCGGGAGGCAGAGGCTGCAGTGAGCTGAGATCACGCCACTGCACTCCATCCTGGGTGACAGAGTGAGACTCCGTCTCAAAAAAAAAAAAAAAAGGAACTGATTATAGTTTGGGTCCTTTCTCATTTCTCTCTTACCGGTAATGCTCGTCTTTGTCACGCTTGTAGAACCGCAAAAAGAGCAAGTGGACGGGCAGCCCCACAAGCCGCCACCGGGCTTGCAGGGTCCAGTTCTCAGGGTGGCGGGTCAGCTGTAAAACCTCCAAACGAAGGTGTGCAAAATAATTCCAGGCCAGGAAACGGCAGAGGGTCAGTGAAAGAATGTACCATGTCCGGCCCCTGTGAAGAAGGGATGGGAAAGAAATCTCATGATGGCAGAATTAGAAAACCAAACTGGCTTCTAAGGAATGGGGAACAGCTGTGAGAAGCAGTCTAGGAACTTCTCTGGGAAGTGAAAAGGGTCATGTATATACCTTTGGGTGCTTTTCCTCCCCAGTGCCCTACCTGTGCCCCAATTCTCACTTGGTACGTATGTTGAGGATCTCATTGATGAATTCCACATCCAAGGAATACAGACTGTAGTCGTGGGACTGAAGGAAGAGCTTGGGAAGCTAGGTGGAAGAAGATGGCATCAACCCAGTGGGAAAGAAAAGATAATCCTATTTTTCAGTTTTCTAATTTTTTTTTTTTTTTGAGACGGAGTCTAGCTCTGTCGCCCAGGCTGGAGTACAGAGGTACAATCTCAGCTCACTGCAACCTCCGCCTCCTAGGTTCAAGCGATTCTCCTGCCTCAGCCTCCCGAGTAGCTGGGATTACAGGCTTGAGATGGAGTCTAGCTCTGTCGCCCAGGCTGGAGTGCAGAGGTACAATCTCGGCTCACTGCAACCTCCGCCTCCCAGGTTCAAGCGATTCTCCTGCCTCAGCCTCCCGAGTAGCTGGGATTACAGGCACCCACCACCATGCCCAGCTAATTTTTGTATTTTTAGTAGAGACGGGGTTTCACTGTGTTGGCCAGGCTGGTCTTGAACTCCTGACCTTGTGATCCGCCTGCCTCGGCCTCCCAAAGTGCTAGGATTATAAGCGTGAGCCATGTGCCAGGCCCAGTTTTCTATTTTTAAGGCCTCCTTACTCCCATCTTGGAGTGAAAGATCTCATCCCATGATTAACCTCCCTTAACCCAAAATGAGGAACATCATTTTCTTTCTTTTTTTTTTTTTTGAGACGGAGTCTCGCTCTGTTGCCTAGGCTGGAGTACAATGGAGATATCTCCTTTCACTGCGCCTCCTGGGTTCAAGCGATTCTCCTGCCTCAGCCTCCTGAGTAGCTGGGATTATAGGCGTCTGCCACCATGCCTGGCTGATTTTTGTGTTTTTAGTAGAGATGGGGTTTCACCATGTTGGCCAGGCTGGTCTTGAACTCCTGACCTCAGGTGATCCACCTGCCTAAGCCTCCCAAAGTGCTGGGATTACAGCACTTTGAGCCACCGTGCCTGGCTGGAACATCATTTTCTCAGGAAAATGTTTATAATATATTTCTATGCCTGCCTCATGGTTCCAAAAAAGAATCCAGTTGACTATCCCTGTACGTCCAAGGATTACCCACATCCTTCCCACTGTAGACGAAGGCCACTTTTGCACTGACTTACCTCTTGTCTCAGTCTCTCATACATGACAGACAGATGTTCCTCCATACTAGGATCTCCTGACGGGGTGGCAGGGGAAGGGTGGGCAGTTCCAGGGACTTGGAAAGGTATCCAAGCCCCAGGATAGGGGCAGGGAGGTCCCTCAAAAAGGCTTCTAAGCCCATCCAGGCAGCCGCTATGCAACTCAGGTCCTGGTCCCTCCTCCCCCTTTCCTGGAGGGAGAACCACCCATGCTGAGCTGAGGGCCTGGATCTGAGGGAGAGGTAGTGGGGGAACCTGGGGAAGACGCTGGGTGGGAAGGCGTGGGGGCAGGGGAGACCAGAATAGAGGAGAAGATGGGGAAGTGGTTGTCGTGGAGTGGGGCCAAAGGGGTGGGAATGGTAGAGTCCCTGGATAAAGCTGGTCCTAAGGAGAAAGAACAGAAGGGAGAAAGATAAGAATCCACTTGTCTAACACCCCTTGATCCCCTGGATGCTCAACAGGCTTCCAATACCTATTCCTCCTGACAGAATGGATGGAATTACTATAGGAAAAAAGGGATGGATTCATCTCCATCTCTACTGAAAACAGGAGGAAACCATTTTATTTTATTATTTATTTTGAGATGGAGTCTCGCTCTGTTGCCAGGCTGGAGTGCAGTAGCACGATCTCAGCTCACTGCAACCTCCGCCTCCCGGGTTCAAGTGATTTTCCTGCCTCAGCCTCCTGAGTAGCTGGGACTACAGGCGCGCGCCACCATGCCCAGCTAGTTTTTGTATTTTTAGTAGAGACAGGATTTCACCATGTTAGCCAGGATGGTTTTCATCTCTTGACCTCGTGATCCACCCGCCTCTGCCTCCTAAAGTGCTGGGATTACAGGCGTGGGCCACCGCGCCCAGCCGAGCAAACTGTTTTATGTGACATAAATACCGGCACCTCCCAAAACCTAGCAGACATTTTACTTTTTTTTCTTTTTTTGAGACGAAGTCTCACCGTCGCCCAGGCTGGAGTGCATTGGCGCGAACTCGGGTCACTGCAACCGCCGCCTCCTGGGTTCAAGCCATTCTCCTGCCTCAGCCTCCCGAGTAGCTGGGATTACAGGCACCCTTCACCACGCCCGGCTAATTTTTGTATTTTTAGTTACAGATGGGGTTTCACCATGTTGGCCAGGCTGTTCTCGAACTCCTGACCTCAGGTAATCCGCCCACCTCGGCCTCCCAAAGTGCTGGGATTACAGGCGTGAGCCACCGTGCCCGGCCCAGTGTTGGAATCTTAAAGAAATGTGGCCGGGCGCGGTGGCTCACGCCTGTAATCCCAGCACTTTGGGAAGCCGAGGCGGGCGGATCACGAGGTCTAGGAGTTCGAGACCAGCCTGGCCAATATGGTGACACCCCATCTCTACTAAAGATACAAAACAATTAGCCGGGTGTGGTGGCGGGAGCCTGTAGTCCCAGCTACTCGGGAGGCTGAGGAAGGAGAATTGCTTGAACCCAGGAGACGGAGATTGCAGTGAGCCGAGATGGTGCCAATGCACTTCAGCCTGGGTGACGGAGCAAGACTCCATTTCAAAAAAAAAAAAAAAAAGATTCCAACACTGGGGGCAGTTTCACCTCTCTTATCGCAAGAATCATGTAATACATACTTGATGAGTTAACGAATAACAGGTTTTATTGTACTGTGGATTAAATGCTGTGGCCTGTACATCTCCATGATTAAGTGTGCGAGGCAAATGTACAGAGAAAAAAGAATATCCAGCTGAAGCTAGGAATCTGAATTCTATCATGTAACTTTAGGCATTCTCATTCCCTATGCCTCCGCTTCCTACAAATGTCCTATAAATGAGAACAATAAAGCCTCACTGGGTTATGAGGCCTATATGAAATAATGAATGTAAACAAAACGTAGCGACCTAGAAAGCAGTACATAAATGGAAGCTATTATCATTTCGGGCCCCTCTAATGACAGACACAACCTCAGGAGACAGTTAAAGGCTGGCCTTCACTCTCCTGGGTTTACCGACGTTGAAACTGCAAGGGGAGGTCACCCAAAGTTAGGCCTCACCCGAGTCCCTCCGCTCCCAAGGAACCCCCCAGGGGATCGTCTCACTGCAGGGAAGGCGGGCGGACCGCTCGGGTACCTCGGTCCCCGATGGTGTCCTAGAGGCGCCGTCTCTGCTGGGGGCGTGGCCATCTTGCCAGCCCGGGCGCAGGGGCCCGAACCGGGTGCACACTGGCCGGCCTTCCTGCCAGGACCGCTCTCCGAGTGCAAGACGGGCGGGCTGCTGAGGGCGCCCCGCGGGTCTGGTCTGGGCCGGGGAACTCCGGGACGGCGCCGCAGCAGGGCTACGAATCTCTCGGCCCCTGCCCTTCAAATCACCTCTAGGCACAGGTAACCGCGGAGAGTCGGGCGCAACGCAGACGCGCCCCGCTGCCTGGCCTTGACCCCGCCTGACCGCCCTCAAACCTGGGAGGACCGACGTCCTTGCGCGACAGGCCCGGCAGCGCCTCCCTCCCGCTCCCGCGACCCCTAGCCTGTCCACGCGCTGCAGGGCACAGGTGGGAAGGGGCGGCGGGTGTCTCTGCGCCTGCGCGGAACCCAGCGCGCGCTCCGCCCCACGCACCGGCTTTGAGGAGGGTCTCTCCCCGCCCCCTCTCCTCCCTCCCTCTTCTCCTCCGCTCACCTGGGGTCGAGCCTGGTAGGCGCGCAGGCAAGGGCCGAGACGCCGGGCCGCACCCCGGCTGGGCTGGTACATGATCTTCCGGGAGTGGAGAAGGAGCCTCCTGAGTCCGACCTCCGGCCTCCTCACAGGGGTGAGCGCGCCCCAGAGCCGGCTTCGTGAAGGGGAAAGGAGGCCGGGGCGGGGGGGTAGGGGGGGAAGGGGCTGAGGGAGGGAAACGGAGATGTCCCGCGCTTGCGCACTGCAGGCTCGAGGGAAGCGGCTGAAGCGCTCTGTCGGCTGTAAGCGCGCCTGCGCCCGCGGGCTCGGAGACTGCCTGAGTGCGCTTGCGCAAGTTACAGCCTCCCCCGCCCCCCCAAGCGCTGTATTCACAGCTGAGGCCTTTGAGCAAAAAGCTGAGCAAAAACAGGGCTGAAGGCTGAATGGGTGCAACGACAGTGAGGGGTGAGGCGGCTGAAATAATGAGTCAAATTTTTCAACAGCTCTTGTGATAAAAATAAATACTTTTATTGGTCTGGTTAAAAGATACAAATGACTTGAATCTGATAAGCCTGCTGAATGAATGAATGAATGAATGTATCCATCTATTATGAGGGTTGGGCTTTGGCTCTTTCCTGTAGTGAGGGAGAAATAATACTTTGAAGATGTTTGACGGGGCTGCGGTCACCAAGGCCTGGTGCTGCGACGTTCCTGCAGGTTTCGAATGAACCTGGCGTTGAGTATGTCCCCACCCACTGTCCAGGACTGGGCTGGCGGGGCCGGGGCCTGTGGAGGAGCTGTGTGCATGGGCTTCTCCCCAGACCCATCCTGTGACAAGGCCTGCTCCTCACTGGCAGACCTGGTAGGTGGGGAGATGGAGAGTGGGTTATAGGAATACTAAAGAGGAAATTAAGATTACAGACTCTTCAAGGTCTCGGGCCAGGTTTTAATGTAGGACACATGATGGGTATGAAGCTGGAACCATTAGTGCTATGTCCAAATTTAAAACCTCTCAGAGAATCCGTATTCCAAAGGGAAGTACCAGAGTTGAACCTGTGGGGGAAAGGGGCTTGCAGGATGTAAGGTAGAAGGAATTGTGGGAGGAGCTGGTGTCCAGTTCATACAATAAGATTTAAGAGTAGGAAGTGACTGAGAATGATGTTAGGAAGGGAGTCAGATGGTGGTGGGAGGCTGTTAGGGGAGGGGTTTAGACCTCACCTATTCTTTGTTTCCTGTTCTCCCTGCTTGGAGTCTTGGTTGCCTGTGGAAATATCAGGCATGTGAATGGGAAGGCAGGAGTAGACAGTGAATGTGGCCTACTTGATTTGAGGGTAGGGAGGAGTGAATACTTACCTGTATTGGGGGATGAGGAATTCACCCCCCCATGGCGGCTGTAGCAGCAGCTTTGGGCTACCAGACCTGGGGGAGTCCCCCTGTAGAAGAAATGGGAGATGATGGGGAGGAGGCTACTGGATGAAAGATGGGTGGGTATGGAGGAATCAGAGGAGAGGAGTAAAAGGAATAGCACAGGAACAAAGAGAAGGGGGTAATTATCATTCCTAACAGGTTTTAATCAAAGCTGTGCCCCAGAAAAGGGCGGGGGAAGTTCATTTTATACCCAAGATTTTCTGGAGTGCTTCTGATTTATTGCTCTATTCTTTCTAGTTGAGGTAATGTGTTAAATCTATGGCTAGGTGTGATCCAAATCATGTCAGAAGAACAGACTCACATGTGGTCAAAAATGTGTTGGATCGGGTACTCTGGTGTTTGGTTTGGAAAACAGGGTTACCTTAACTATAAGATTCCTTAGACCAGGCTGGGCGCGGTGGCTCAGGCTTGTAATCCCAGCACTTTGGGAGGCCAAGACGGGCAGATCACGTGATCAGGAGATCGAGACCAACCTGGCCAACATGGTGAAACCCCGTCTCTACTAAAAATACACAAACTAGCTGGGCACGGTGGTGCACTTCTGTAATCCCAGCTACTTGGGAGGCTAAGGCAGGAGAATCGCTTGAACCCAGGAGGCGGAGGTTGCAGTGAGCTGAGATTGTGCCACTGCACTCCAGCCTGGCGACAGAGCAAGACTCCATCTCAAAAAAAAAAAAAAAGATTCCTTAGACCAGAGGGAAATAGGAAGTGACAAGGCTGAATTTTGAATTTAGGAGGAAAAGGAAGGGGGCCTCTGTAAATAGGGTGACAGACTGTGTTGCACTCTCAATGGAGGTAAGGGTTTGTCTTGAGAGAGATCCAGCGGTTTAGTGGAGCAGACGTCAGGTAATCAGAGTGGGAAGACGAATACAGGAGGCAGGAGGTAATTAGTGGATCCAGAGATGTTGGTAAGCTTTGACATCTTGGCAAAGGCACGCCCAGAGTAAAGGGTAGAAGTCACTGGGGAGAGCTGGAGGTTCCTGGAGGGAATGAGGGAGTAGATACGGAAGCCCACACACAGGGATCCAGCACCTACATGAAAGGAGACACAGAATCTGCAGGAGGACTAACAGTGAAGATGGGGATAGGCAGACACCAGACTCAGGAGCTCTGAGGCTCCTGGGTAAAAGATGTGCAGATCTCAGAAGTGAGAAATGAGAGGGACAGAGGTCCTGAGATCCCAGGAAAATAAGGGATGACGCACAAATGAGGCTGACAACTTTTTTTTTTGTGATTCTTTTTTTCATTGAAAATGTCAATTTAGAAAACACAAAAGATTTCACACTTTATTCAGACAACACTGAGAGAAGAAAAGGGAAGAGTGAGTAGGGGAGATGGGGAGATCCGGCTCCCAAGGATTTCAGGAAACACAGTGGGGCACCTGATCTAGCACACATTCAGAGGGTAGGGAGGGGAAGGGATCTAGCTATACTCTGGGCATGGAGCAGGGAAGGTCGTCCTTGCTATGGAGGAAAGGAGAGAGGAAGGACAGAGGAAGAGTGGTCCCCCATCTCATCTCGACAATCTCACAAGACAGGAGTATATCGGGACCTAGCTACCAGGGAGGGATGGATGCAAGAAGGGATTCCAGGATCTAACAGATCCTTGACACTCTGGATCTACTCTCAAGAAACAACCTCCCTCAGAGAATCTGGATCTGGGGGAAATGGTGGTGTCAGCCAATCTCCTTTAGAGACCCCAAAGCAACACCAGTTTGGGGTTCCCTGACACCTACACAAAATGTGGAAATGAAGAGTTTGGCAATGGTGAGTAGATCCCTTTGGGAAGCTGGTAAGTCCCTGTTCTACCTAACTAGACTGCTCTGAAGCAGAGCTTGCTCACTAGCGGCCATTCGCAGGCTCAAAGGGCAAGTGTGGCAGGCAGCACAAAGCAGTATTAGAGCCACCAGTAGACACTAGAGGGAATATGGGGTTTATCCCATAGATAAAATTCCTTAAAAAGTTTCCCTGGCACAGGATGCCCTTAGACCTTCCATGGTGTTCTAAAGTTTGACAGCAAGCAAGAGTGTGCTTCTCTAGATAAATGTATGAGCCATCTAACCAAGAAGTCTGGCAACAGATCAGACTTCCTGTTGGGAAAGTATTCAGAGCCCAAGTTAGGAGAGAAGGGGTGCTTTTGTGTTAAGAAAAGCTACAAAGTGTTAGGCAGTTTGAGACCCTGACATCCCTGCTGTCTAAGAAAGTAGAAGAGGGAATCCTATGGGCTCTGTCAGGTTCCACTGGGTCCTACAGGATGCAATGGAAGAGTGGGTCTGAGGTTCTCAGGGAGGGGTTCCCTGCCCACCCCAGGTCTCCCAGGGCAGGGAGAGGGTAGCTGTTAGTATCGACTCTCCTCAGAGCGGGGAAGGGAGCTGTGGAAGGATGTTATGGATGGGAGGAAGGGAGATGGGAAATGGCGGGGGGCGGGGGAGAGAAAAACAGAGAAGTCAGAGGTGAAGAGAAAGGGAGAGAAATAAAGGAAATGCCCACTCCCTGCCTGCTGCGATGGACTCTTGGCACACAAGCCAGTGGCTTCCCACTCTCTGTCAGACACTGCCCCTTCCCCAGCAAGTATTAAGCGAAGATTTTCCCAATCTTAGAAGGCTCTGTTCCCCCAACTCGATGGATCTCGGTGTTCTTCCTACCATTCCACATAACTCTCACATTAAAGCCAGGGTCCCTAGGCTCCATATAAGGTCCTATTCTGCTCCTTCACTGCATTTTTTTCCCAGATCACTTGCACAAATATTTTTCTTGAAAGGTTTCAGGACCCCCCCCAAGCCACCCATCTTATTGATCCATCTCTCTGATGGATTCAAATTGCCCTTTGCCATTTCTAACATCCTCTTTTATAGCTGTGAGGCTCCTTAGCCCTTCAACTCCTATTACCTGGTGCGACGACGTTGAGCTGGGCTGCCCCCAGGGTCAGCAGCCAACAGAAGGCGGGCGGTAGGGTGTGGGGGGCAGAGGCGCAAGGAACGCAGCAGCTCCTGCTCTGGCACAAAGGGGCGGAGGGGACCTCGTT
The DNA here is from genome assembly GCF_000001405.40 of Homo sapiens. Taxonomy (NCBI): domain Eukaryota; kingdom Metazoa; phylum Chordata; class Mammalia; order Primates; family Hominidae; genus Homo; species Homo sapiens. Next base: position 1,898,704 of record NT_167245.2, on the reverse strand, counting down.
CTGGTGAGTTTCCCAGGCTGCTGGAGCGGGGGGGTGGGTGGGCTGGAGGTGTGGCGCGGCGAGGGGCCCTGTTTAGGGGCCAAGGAGGCTCCACAGCTACCTTCAGAACTGGGGACAGGGAGAATGAAGAGCAAGACAGAAAAAGAAGAAAAAAGGAAGAGAGTCATGACAGCAAAGGTTTTGGTAGAAAAAAAGAGAAATCTGAGTCTTTCTTTTTTTTTTTTTTCTTTTTTGAGACGGAGTCTCACTCTGTCACCCAAGCTGGAGTGCAGTGGCACGATCTTGGCTCACTGCAACTTCCGCCTCCTGGGTTCAAGCCATTCTCCTGCCTCAGCCTCCCAAGTAGCTGGGATTACAGGCACGTGCCACCGTGCCCAGCTAATTTTTGTATTTTTAGTAGAGACGGGGTTTCACCATGTTGGCCAGGCTGGTCTTGAACCCCTGGACTCAGGCGATCTGCCTGCCTTAGCCTCTCAAAGTGCTGGGATTACAGGCATGAGCCACCATGCCCAGCCCAAGAAATCTGAGTCTTTAGAGAGAACGAATCCTTTCCCTGGGTCCCCTGAGCATTCTCTTCCCTTGTGTTAAGGTACCCCAGGCCCAGACACCCGACCCTTGCCCCTCTTACATTCTCGGTCACTAGAGGAGTATGGCTTGATGTCTCCCTCTGCTCTCTTGGGTGGCAGCTTCCTTGCTGGAGCTGGCAGTGGAGGGGACATAGGCAGGGTAAGCGTTAGGAGACATACTTTGCACCCCTCCTCCCAGCCACTATACCCCAACCCCAAACCTCTGCTCCCTGACACCACAGTTCCTCCTGAGAACTTGCAGGAGCAGCACCATGGCAATGCCAGCACACCAAAAGGGAATTTGAGGGGAATGTGGAACACTGTTGAGGAAAGCCAGAAGGAGTAGGCCAAACACAGAGCTAGGGAGAAAGATCGAAGGGGAGACTCTGGGGGCCTGGGAGATGCAGGAGAAGGGCAGCCAAGGGAAGTGAGCTCTTACTGTCAGTGGGTGCTGTCATGGCCCCCTGGTATTCTGGGGCAGTGGAATGGTCCCAGCCGGGCCAACGAGGACCCTGGGTTCCTCTGGATGAGATGGACAAAGCCCTTGGTTAATCAGGAATTGCTCTGGAGAGGTCAGGGGAGGTTTGGAAGGAGGGCACAATCTCTCCTTCCTATACGAAAATGGGAAGAGACTGAAGTTTTATTAGGTTAAAAAAAAAAAAGAAAATAAATATGGGCATCTGAAAGGGAGCTATCAGAGTAAGCAGGAGGCTGATGTAATGTCCAAAGTTCAGCCTCCCCCTCCTCACTTCTCTACTTGCTCCCGGCTTTCCCTCTCAAGAGATTCTCCATCATGTATGTGTGGCAAATGAAAGACTTCTCAGCAAATTCACTTAAGCTTTATCCACAGCACCCTCCCCTGCAGGCCTGAGACCTCACCATCCTTGTTGGCCCTCAGTCCCTCTCACAGCCTGTGGTTCTGAACAAGCTAAATGGGAGAAGCCTTGGAAACCAAAGCGAGTTGAGGTGCCTCTCAGTGCCTGACACTGTGATGCTCATAGCTGGTTACAGACTGCTGTTTGGATGGTGGTTACATCCTTTCCTGGCCACAGAGCCAGCTCAGGAAGGGGGCTCTTCTGTGCAAGCAAGCACTGTACAGCTGTCAGAAGTTGGTAAGGTGGAGGTGGTGAGGAAGAGGAAGGAGTGGGGCTCAGACTGTCAGTAAGTGTGTTTGTGTGTGTGTGTGTGTGTGTGTGTGTGTATATGGGATGGGGAATCTGGACAGCATTTTAGTGCCTCTGAGGTTTGGTTTCTCCATATCAATTTCATTATCTGGTTGGAAATGTTATAAACTCTGAGTGTTATCTTCTAAAAGTAACATTTAAATTTTGGGCCATTTGTGTCACTATTCTGTGACTGCAAATGGAAGGGCTGTTTGCACCAGCCTGTCCCTCACTGGCTAACAGAAGCCTGGGGTTTACAAAGGAGCCTGACTCTGGCCTATGTTGACGGACCTGAACTGGCAAGAGGGTCCATTGATATCAGCTGTCAAACAGGCTCCCAATGAGCTTGCTTAGTTAAAAGTCTTGCCAAATATAAAATGCACTGAGCTCCCATGAGGGCAAAGGCAAACAGTCATGACTGCTGGAGACTTGGGTTGCTTTAGAATTTTCCAAAATTGCCCACAGATGGCACTGTACCCCGTGGCATCTAGAGTAAGTAGCCATCACTGCACTACAGTTCCACCCCTTCAATACAGGCTTTACCAGCGGGCGTGGGATCGACTGCAGCAGCACGAGAGTGTCGAGTTGCCCTCAGAGAGGGAGCAGGGGGCCCTGTGAGGAAGGAAGCGGCGGGGCCCCTCAGTGAGGGGTCGGCAGGACCAAGAGTCCAGCTCTTTCCTTTCCCTCACCCCGACTACGTGACCAACAAAATGCAAAAACTTACGATGTTGATGGGCAAAGAAGCCTTCAAAGATCACAAAGTTGTTCACCTGGAAGATGAAACAAACAAAATACAATCATGCATCACTTAACGATGGGGATACATTCTGAGAAATACGTCATTGGGTGATTTCATTGTGTGAACATCACAGAGTGTACTTACACAAACCTAGACACTATAGCCTACAACACACCCAGACTATATCATACAGCCTATTGCTCCTAGGCTACAAACCTGTACAGCATGTTACTGTACTGAATGCTGTAGGCAATTTTTTTTTTTTTTTGAGAGGCAGAGTCTCGCTCTGTTGCCTAGGCTGGAGTGCAGTGGTGCCATCACAGCTCACTGCAGCATCAACCTGGGCTTAAATGATCCTCCCACCTCAGCCTCCCAAGTAGCTAGGACCACAGGTGCATGCCACCACATCTGGCTACTAATTTTTTTTTAACTTTTTGTAGAGATGGGGGTCTCACTATGATGCCCAGGCCAGTCTCAAACTCCAGGGCTCATGTGATCCTTCTGCCTCAGCCTCCAAAAGTCCTGGGATTATAGACGTGAGCCACCATGCTCAGCCAGCTGTAGGCAATTCTAACATAATGGTTCAGCTGATGTATCTAAACATACCTCAACACAGAAAAGGTACAGTAAAGGTCAGGTGCGGTGGCTCACGCCTGTAATCCCAGCACTTTGGGAGGCCGAGGCAGGCGGATCATGAGGTCAGGAGATCGAGACCATCCTGGCTAACATGGTGAAACCCCATCTCTACTAAAAATACAAAAAAATTAGCCGGATGTGGTGGCGGGCGCCTGTAGTCCCAGCTACTCGGGAGGCTGAGGCAGCAGAATGGCGTGAACCCGGGAGGCAGAGCTTGCAGTGAGCTGAGATCGTGCCACTGCACTCCAGCCTGGGCGATGGAGCAAGACTCCGTCTCAAAAAAAAAAAAAAAGAAAGAAAGTGAAAAGACAATCTACAGAATGGGAGAAAATGTTTGCAAGTCATACATCTGATAAGTGCGTTCTATCTAGAATATATGAAAAACTCTCAGAACAAAAAAGAACACAATTTAAGAACAGACAAAGGACTTGTATAAACTTTTCTCTAAAGAAGATACACAAATGGCCAATAAGCACATAAAAAGGTGCTAAAGTCCAGGTTCAGTGGCTCACACCTGTAATCCCAGCACTTTGGGAGGCTGTGGCAGGCATCACTTGAGGTCAGGAGTTCAAGACCGGTCTGGCCAAGATGGTGAAACCCTGTGTCTATTATAAATACAAAAAATTAGCCAGGCATGGCAGTGTGCACCTGTAATCCTAGCTACTTGGGAGGCTGAGGCAGGAGAGTCGCTTGAACCCAGGAGGCGGAGGTTGCAGTGAGCTGAGATCGTGCCACTGCACTCCAGCCTGGGCAAGAGAATGAGACTCCGTCTCAAAGGATAAATAAATAAATAAAAAATTCAGCAGGGTTCCAAGGGGTGGGGAAAGTCAGGGGAAGACATGCTGGAGGCCAGGATGCTACTTTGATAACTAGTAACTATTAATTTTAGAGTTACTTCATTATATTTTCACATTTAATTTGGCCTTCACAATCCTGGAAGTCACTATTTGAAAGAAGGTTGGGGGAAATACAGCCTTGGAGACATGGCTTCGCTTGGCCAATGCCAAGTAGCTACAAGTGGCAGGGCTGGGCCTCAACTTTCAGACTTCTGATTCCAGCTGCAGTGTTTTAGCCAGGAAAATAGTGTAGCCATTAAGAGTTTACTCAAGAGGAGAGCTTGCAGTGAGCCGAGATGGCAACACTGCACTCCAGCCTGGGCGACAGAGAGAGACTCCGTCTCAAAAAAAAAAAAAAAACTCGGGGGCCAGGCGTGGTGGATCACGCCTGTAATCCCAACAATTTGGGAGGCCAAGGCGGGTGGATCACTTGAGGTCAGGAGTTCGAGACCCTGTCTCTACTAAAAATACAAAAATTAGCTGGGTGTGGTGACGTGCGCCTGTAATCCTAGCTACTCAGGAGGCTGAGGCAGGAGAATCCATTGACCCCAGGAGGGAGAGGCTGTAGTGAGCTGAGATTGCACCACTGTACTTCAGCCTGGGTGACAGAGTGAGACTCCATCTCAAAAAAAAAAGTTTAATGGGGGCTGGGCATGGTGGCTCATGTGGATAGCTTGAGCCCAGGAGTTCAAGACCAGCCTGGGCAATATAGCAAGACCTCATCTCTACAAAAATATTTTTAAAAATTAGCCAGGCGTGGGCCGGGCCCAGTGGCTCAAGCCTGTAATCCCAGCACTTTGGGAGGCCGAGGCGGGCCGATCACGAGGTCAGGAGATCGAGACCACCCTGGCTAACACGGTGAAACCCCGTCTCTACTAAAAATACAAAAAATCAGCCAGCCATAGTGGTGGGCGCCTGTAGTCCCAACTACTTGGGAGGTTGAGGTGGGAAGATCTTTTTTGAGATGGAGTCTCGCTCTGTTGCCAGGCTGGACTTCAGTGGCAAGATCTCAGCTCACTGCAACCTCCACCTCCTGAGTTCAAGCGATTCTCCTGCCTCAGCCTCCGGAGCAGCTGGGACTACAGGCATGCGCCACCATGCCCAGCTAATTTTTGTATTTTCAGTAGAGACAGGGTTTCACCATGTTGGCCAGGATGGTCTTGATCTCTTGACCTCGTGATCCGCCCGCCTTGGCCTTCCAAAGTGCTGGGGTTACAGGCGCGAGCCAATGCGTCCGGCCTTTTTTTTTTTTTAACATGGAATCTCACTCTGTTGCCCATGCTGGAGTGCAATGGTGTCATCTCGGCTCCCTGCAACTTCCACCTCCCAGGTTCAAGCTCTTCTCCTGTCTCAGCCTCCTGAGTAGCTGGGATTACAGGCACATGCCACCACGCCCGGCTTATTTTTGTATTTTTAATAGAGATGGGGTTTCGCCATGTTGGCCAGGCTGGTAGGGAAGATCTCTTGAGCCTAGGAGGTAGAGACTGCAGTGAGCCGTGATCGTGCCACTGCACTCCAGCCTAGGCAACAGAGCAAGACCTTGCCTCAAAAAGAAAAAAAAAAAAAAAGTTCACTGGGTGCAAATGGCTATGGGTTCAAATGTGGACTCTACTATTTACTGGCTGTGTGAATTTGGTTAAGTCATTAATTTGTATAAACCCAAAATAGGTTTAATAATAGTACCTACCTCAAAAAGATGTGCAAGAATCCACTGAGATGATGCATATAGATACCACATAGAGCCCATGAAATGTGAATTATTATTTACACTCTATACTGCTCTGGCCTTACATGTTAACTGGGTAATGTGTTTCATATCGAATACTGTGCTCCAGGACCGGGTATGGTGGCTCACGGCTGTAATCGTAGCACTTTGGGAGACCGAGGTGGGCGGATCACTTGAGGTCAGAAGTTCGAGACGTCTGGCCAACATGGTGAAACCTCATCAACACAAAAATTAGCCAGGTGTGGTGGTGGGCGCCTCTAATCCCAGCTACTCAGGAGGCTGAGGCAAGAGAATTGCTTGGACTCAGGAGGCAGAGGTTCCAGTGAGCTGAGATTGTGCCACTGCACTCCAGCCTGGGCGACAGACTGAGACTCCATCTCAAAATACAAACAAACAAACAAAAAAAAACTGTGCTCCTTCCACTGCTCTCTGTTGCCTCTTAATGGAAAAATATACTGTAGGAAGACCCTGCCTATCCCTTGCCTTGACCTTGTTGTAATGTCTACCAGCCCATCCTCATCACCCCCACCCCCCAACAAGCACATGCCCAGCACTCCAACCACACCACACTGCTTGTAGTGTCCTGAAAGGTGGTTTATTTTTATTTATTTATTTATTTTTTTTGAGACAGTGTCTTGCTCTGTCGCCCAGGCTGGAGTGCAGTGGCATGATCTGGGCTCACTGCAAGCTCCGCCTCCTGGGTTCACGCCATTCTCCTGCCTCAGCCTCCTGATTAGCTGGGACTACAGGCGCCTGCCACCACGCCCAGCTAATTTTTTTTGTATTTTTAGTAGAGACGGGGTTTTACCGTGTTAGCCAGGATGGTCTCGATCTCCTGACCTTGTGATCCGCCTACCTTGGCCTCCCAAAGTGCTGGGATTACAGGTGTGAGCCACCACGCCTGGCCTGAAAGGTGGTTTAATACCTTTCTGCCTTTGCTCATGCCTGTTCCTCTACATGAAATGCACTTTAGCCTTTTGTCCACCTGACAAACACTTGCCTTTCAAGATTAGACATGTCATCTTTCTTTACCCAACCCCCAGCCCAAGATAGCACTCAAATCCATGTCCTTATGCCTCCTCTGTAATCACATCTATCAAATCATGTTACAGTGGATTAACTGTCCATGTTCCTATCCAAGGCTAACTTGTCAACCAAATCTCAACGCCCCCGCCGCCCATTCAATGACATCACTTCAACAGTTCTCCCCACTTTCTCTGACATAATAATATTTTCTCTCTACTGAATCATTCTAATGCTATTTGTTCTCCCATCTGCAAAAGATCAACTCTTTTGATCCACTTCACTCTCCAGCTCTTGCTCTATTTCTATTCCCATTAAAGCAGGATTTAAAAGAGTAGCTTATTCTTGCTGTGTTCCTAGCTTCTCAGTCTACAAGACCCACTGCATCCAGGCTTCCAAACACCGCTGCACCAAAACTGCTCATTAAGATCACCAATGGCCTAACGCAGATAAATCCAATGGTAACTTCTCAGACCTCTTTGCTCCTTGATCAGCAGCATTTGACCAAGTAAACCATTCCTTCCTCCTGGAAACACTTTCTTCAGTGGCCTTTGAGGTCACCTTACTTTTCAGTTTTCTTTTCTTTTTTTTTTTTTTTGAGATGGAGTTTCGCTTTGTTGCCCAGGCTGGAGTGCAATGGCATGATCTCGGCTTACTGCAACCTCCACCTCCCAGATTCAAGTGATTGTCCTGCCTCAGCCTCCCAAGTAGCTGGGATTACAGGCATGAGCCACCTCGCCTGGCTAATTTTGTATTTTTTGTAGAGATGGGGTTTCACCATGTTGGTCTTGAACTCCTGACCTCAGGTGATCCACCCGACTCGGCCTCCCAAAGTGCTGGGATTACAGGTGTGAGCCACCACACCCGGCCTCAGTTTTCATCTACTTCACTAGTCACTCTGTGGTTGCATTTGCTGGTCTTCTTCTCTTCCTTAACTTCTTTTTGTTGCTGTTAGAACAACTCAGCAAAATAAAATTTGGGTTTATTGTTGCACAATATTGTTTCACACATACATCAAATAGGCCTAAATAAATAAGCAGCCATTTCATAGACAAAAAAGGCAAATAAATGAAACATTTTATCTTTGGCCTTTTTAACCATCTCACACAAACCAACTACTTATGGTACAACTAACTACATACACTAAAGAAGCTACTGGAATGCTCAGAACGAGACTTTTTGTTGTTGTTGTTGTTTTTGAGATGTAGTCTCGCTCTGTTGCCCAGGCTGGAGTGCAGTGGCACAATCTTGGCTCACTGCAAGCTCTGCCTCCCGGGTTCACGCCATTCTCCTGCCTCAGCCTCCCAAGTAGCTGGGACTACAGGCTCCCGCCACCACGCCTGGCTAATTTTTTGTATTTTTAGTAGACAGGGGGTTTCACCATGTTAGCCAGGATGGTCTCGATCTTCTGACCTCGTGATCCACCCACCTCGGCCTCCCAAAGTGCTGGGATTACAGGCGCGAGCCACCGCGCCCAGGCTTTTTTTTTTTTTTTAAACAAGGTTTTTTTTTTTTTTTTTTTTCCTCCTTTGAGATTATAATGAATATGGTCACACCACAAGTAAAGTCAGAAGTAAGACAGAGAACCCTCCAAAGGCTGGCTTGGTCATCTGAGATCATTAAAAATGACTGAACCTGGCTGGGCGCCGGTGGCTCACGCCTGTAATTCGAGCACTTTGGGAGGCCGAGGTAGGTGGATCACAAGGTCAGGAGATAGAAACCATCCTGGCCAACCTGGTGAAAGCCTGTCTCTGCTAAAAATACAAAAATTAGCTGGGTGTGGTGGCGGGCGCCTGTAATCCCAGCTACTCAGGAGGCTGAGGCAGGAGAATCACTTGAACCCAGGAGGTGGAGCTTGCGGTGAGCCAAGATCGCACCACTGCACTTGAGCCTGGCGACAGAGCTAGACTCCGTCTCAAAGAAAAAAAAAATGACCCTAACAATATGTACAAAAATATAAAATGTAAATAAAAAATACAAACAAACTTCCTTTTTAAAGTACTTTTAAAAGAGCAAGACCTTGGAAGTTTTGGTTCTTTTTTCCTCCTCTGTTGCAAATTCTCTGGTTTGGGTTGGGTGGTGGTGAGTGCCTGTCATCTGCAGTGGCACTGTCTGTGGAGGGCAAGCAGGCCTCTCGAGGGCAACCATGTTTAGATTCTGAGATGGGAAGTGGAGGGTGAATAGGTCACGGTGGCCTTAATTTAAAGTTTAACTTTTCTTTTTTTGCTGTCTAATCATCCTCACTGGCCTTCTGCTGCTTGGTATCAACATCGTCATCTTCATCATCATCAGCTGCCCATTTGTCCATACCGCCTCAGCTGCTTCGTTTTCATCTCCGTTCTTTTCTTCACCATCACCTTCCTCTTCCTTCTCCTCTTTCTCCCCACCCTGTTCCTCTTCTTCATCTACCTCGTTGTCAGCCTCCTGCTCCCCATTTTCCTCATTAGCGTTCCCGTTAGCATGGGCGTCTCTTCCACTTTCTGCCTCCTCCACAACTTCTCCTTGAAGTCCTTGGTGGTGATCACGGAGCTTGTGTCCACAACTGCCTCTGACATGGTGGGGCACAGCGGTGATCCGATGCAAGGGATTAAGAAGAAAGTGAGAGTTTGGGGACTATGTCGATTAAGCTGCCAGACTCTGAGGCAGCAGAGGAAGTGCATGGCGGAGGTGGCTGTGGTGAGCAGGACACCGAACCAGGAACAATGCAAAGATGGCTTTTCAGAGCAGCCAGTTGGGGGTCCTCACTTCTTAAAGAGGGCCCAAAGGGGCAGCTTCTCTATCTATAATCTTTCTATGGTGATCGCATCCTGTCTGTTGGCTTTAGATACCAGATGTATGCTGAAAACTCTCCTCCCCAAACCTCCTCCCTGATCTCCAGGGAAGTATCCAACTGTCTACTCAAACCTGGACATATCACAGACATCTCCAATTAACATATTAAAAATGTACTCCTAGTATTTCCCCCAAAGCTGGTCTACCTACCATCTCAGTTAAAGCAACTTCATTCTTCCAGCTGCTCAGGCTTTGGCATTGTCCTAAAGTCCTCTTTCTCCACATACAATCTGTCAGGAAATCTTACTTGCTTTACCTTCAAAATATTTAAAATTTGACCACTCTTTACCATCACTACTGCTACCACCTTGGTCTGAGCCACCACCATTTTTCGCCAGGATTGTTGCTGCCTAATTAGTCTACTTGCTTCTACTCTGGCTCCCTTATTGCCGTTTCCATTTTTTTTTTTTTTTGATATGGGGTCTTACTCTGTCACCAGGCTAGAGTGCAGTGCAGTGGCACAATCTCAGCTCACTGCAACCTCTACCTCCCTGATTCAAGCAATTCCCCTGCCTCAGTCTCCCGAGTAGCTGGGATTACAGGCGAGCACCACCACACCTGGCTAATTTTTTTTTCTATTTTTAGTAGAGATGGGGTTTCACCATGTTAGCCAGACTGGTCTTGAAGTCCTCAGGCAATCCACCTGCCTCGGCCTCCCAAAGTGCTAGGATTACAGGTGTGAGCCACTGTGCCCGGCTATTGCCTGTTCTTAACAGCCAAAGTGATCTTGTTAAAAAGGAAAAAATCAAGATCACAGCCAAAATGATCTTTTTCTTTTTTCTTTGATGGAGTCTCGTTCTGTTATCCAGGCTGGAGTGCAGTAGTGCGATCTCAGCTCACTGCAACCTCTGCCTCCCAGGTTCAAGCGATTCTTCTATCTCAGCCTCCCAAGTAGCTGGGGCTACAGGTGCCCGCCACCACACCCGGCTAATTTTTGTATTTTTAGTAGAGATGGGGTTTCACCATATGGCCAGGCTGGTCTCGAACTCCTGACCTTGTGATCCACCTGCCTGGGCCTCCCAAAATGCTGGGATTACAGGAATGAGATACCACACCTGGCGCTATTTTTTTTTTTTTTTTTTTTTAAGAAGGAGTCTTGCTCTGTCGCCCAGGCAGGAGTGCAGTGGTACAATTTCAGCGGCTCACTGCAACCTCCGCCTCCCGGTTCTAGTGATTCTCCTGCCTCAGACTCCCAAACAGCTGGGATTACAGGCACCTGCCATCACACCCAGCTAATTTTGGTATTTTCAGTAGAGACCTCAGGTGATCCACCTACCTCGGCCTCCCAAAGTGCTGGGATTACAGGTGTGAGTCGCCACCCCTGGCCTGATCTTATTTTTTACTTAAAATAAAAGCCAGTCTTTGCAGTAGCCTATAAGGCCCCTCCTCCGCATTACCTCTCTGGTCTCATCTCCTACCATACTCCTCCGCTGACTCATGCTGCTCTGGACACAGCCAATTTGCTCTTTCAGGCACACTCCCACCTCACGGCCATACACTGGTGGTACCTTCTGTCTGGGATGCTCTCTCTCCAGATATTTCTTGGCTCTTACTCTTTTTTTTTGTTTGTTTGTTTTGAGACAGTCTCACGTTGTTACCCAGGCTGCAGTGCAGTGGTACCATCTCGGCTCACTGCAGCTTCGACCTCCTGGGCTTAAGCAATCCTCCTGCCTCAGACCCCCAAGTAGCTGGGACCACAGGTGCGTGCCACTACACCTGGCTAATTTTTGTGTTTTTTGTAGAGATGGGGTTTCACCATGTTGCCTAGGCTAGTCTCGAACTCCTGGGCTCAAGTGATCCACCCACCTCGGCCTCCCTAAGTACTAGGATTGCAGATGTAAGTCACCACGCCCAGCCTTGGTTTTTATTCTTTTTTTTTGAGATGGAGTCTCGCTCTGTCACCCAGGCTGGAGTGCAGTGGCGCGATCTCGGCTCACTGCAAGCTCTGCCTCCCGGGTTCACGCCATTCTCCTGCCTCAGCCTCCCGAGTAGCTGGGACTACAGGCACCCAGCTAATTTTTTTGTATTTTTTTTAGTGGAGACAGGGTTTCACCATGTTAGCCAGGATGGTCTAGATCTCCTGACCTCGTGATCCGCGCGCCTCGGCCTCCCAAAGTGCTGGGATTACAGGCATGAGCCACCGTGCCCGGCCAGTTTTTACTCTTACTTCCTTTCAGTTATTGCTCAAATGACACTTTCTCAGTGATGATCCCCTTTCAACCTGCAATCCCACATACTCCCATCCCCACCTTACTTGAGTACTCCCAAACCCTTACTTGCTCTCATTTTTCCAGAGCACTTATTAACCATATTGTTTATTATGTTTGTTTGTCTCTCCAGCTAGAATATAAGCTCCACCACTAAGACAGGGACTTTTGTCTGTTCCCTTCTTTTTCTGTTTTTTTTTTTTGTTCCGAGACAAGAGTCTCGCTTCGTCCCCCAGGGTGGAGTGCTGTAGCAGGACCTCGGCTCACTGTAACCTCTGCCTCCGGGGTTCAAGCAATTCTCCTGCCTCAGCCTCCCGAGTAGCTGGGATTACAGGCGCACGCCATCATGCCCAGTTAATTTTTATATTTTTAGTAGAGACAGGGTTTCACTATGTTCCACATGCTGATCTCGAACTCCTGATATCAGGTGATCCTCCTGCCTTGGCCTCCCAAAGTGTGGGGATTACAGGCATGAGCCACCATGCCTGGCCCTTTTTCTTTTTCTTTTTTGAGATGGAGTCCTCACTCTGTCGCTCAGGCTGGAGTGCAGTGGTGCAATCTTGGTTCACTGCAACCTCTGCCTCCCGGGTTCAAGTGATTCTCCTGCCTCAGCCTCCTGGGTAGCTGGGATTACAGGTACCCACCATCATGCCCCGCTAATTTTTGTATTTTTAATAGAGACGGGGTTTTACCATGTTGACCAGGCTGGTCTCAAACTCCTGACCTCAAGTGATTCGCCCACGTCAGCCTCCCAAAGTGCTGGGATTACGGGCATGGGCCACCGCACCGCACCTGGCCTTTTTTTCTGTTTTTGTTTTCATTTTTGGAGACAGGGTCTCTCTCTGTTGCCCAGGCTATAATGCAGTGGCGCGATCTTGGCTCACTGCAACCTCTGCCTCCCAGGCTCAAGCGATTCTCCCATTTCAGCCTCCCAAGTAGCTGGGACTACAGGCTCGTGCCACCACGCCTGGCTAATTTTTTTTTGTATTTTTTGTAGAGACAGAGTTTCGCTATGTTGCCCAGGCTGTTGTCTGTTTCATTGAGTAAACCATTCCTAGTGCCCAGAACACTGCCAGGCACTCAATGTTTATTGGATGAATGGGTAGCATTAGTAACATTTTGCTGCACTTAGTTATAAACAAGACTTCCTTCCCTATATTAGGCCAAAGCTCCATGAGGACAGGGAATGCATATTATTCTGGACCCTTAATAAATACTGACTGACCAGATGAGTAATGAACTATGTGAAAACAAGGAGGTGAAAATGAGCTGGCTATGTTTGGGTTGAAAATTAGTCATAAGGGGTCGGGCACGGTGGCTCACGCCTGTAATCCCAGCACTTTGGGAGGCCGAGGCGGGCAGATCACAAGGTCAGGAGATCTAGACCATCCTGGCTAACACGGTGAAACCCCATCTCTACTAAAAATACAAAAAATTAGCTGGGTATGGTGGTGGGCACCTGTAGTCCCAGCTACTCGGGAGGCTGAGGCAGGAGAATGCCGTGAACCTGGGAGGCGGAGCTTGCAGTGAGCTGAGATCGTGCCACTGCACTCCAGCCTGGGTGACAGAGCGACTCTGTCTCAAAAAAAAATTAGGCATAAGGGTTGTGTGCGGTGGCTCACACCTGTAATCCCAGCACTTTTGGGAGGCTGAGGTGGGCACATCACTTGAGGCCATGAGTTCAGGACCAGTCTGTCCAACATGGTGAAACTCCATCTCTACTAAAAATACAAAAATTAGCTGGGCATGATGGTGCATGCCTGTAATCCCTACTACTCAGGAGGCTGAGGCACAAGAATCACTTGAACCCCGGAGGCAGAGGTTGCAGTGAGCTGTGATCGTGCCACTGCAATCCAGCCTGGACGATGGAGCAAGGCTACATCTCACAAAAAAAAAAAAAAAGAAAAATTAGGTGTAGGAAACAACTTGTGGTAAAGAATCAAAATAAGTCTGGGTACAGTGGCTCACGCCTATAATCCCAGCACTTTGGGAGGCTGAGGCAGGTGGATCTCTTGAGCCAGGAGTTCAAGACCACCCAGTGCAACATAGTGAGACCTCATCTCTACAAAAAATAAAAAATTAGCCAGGCATGGTGGTGCATGCCTGTAGTCTCAGCTACTCAGGAGGCTAAGGGAGGAGTATCGCTTGAGCCCAGAAGGTTGGGCTGCAGTGAGCCAAGATCCTGCCATAGCACTCCAGCTTGGGCAACAGCAGGAGACTCTGCTTTGAAAAAAAAAAAAAAAAAGTCAGATGCGGTGGCTCACACCTGTAATCCCAGCATTTTGGGAGGCCAAGGCGGGCAGATCACAAGGTCAGGAGTTTGAGACCAGCCTGGCCAGTATGGTGTAACTCCGTCTCCACTAAAGATATAAAAATTAGCTGGGTGTGGTGGTGGGTGCCTGTAGTCCCAGCTACTCAGGAGGCTGAAGCAGGAGAATCGCTTGAAACCAGGAAGTGGAGGTTGCAGTGAGCTGAGATTGCGCCACTGTACTCCAGCCTGGGCAGCATGGCGAGACTCCATCTCAAAAAAAAAAATCAAAATAGATGAGAAAGAAGTCACTACAGGATGAGAGATGGTACCACAAGAGAAAGAAAGAGCCTGGTTGTAGAAAATGAAACCTATGTGATAGGAAATAAGTCACTACTTCTTTGCCATAAATAACAAATAAATTCAATGGGAATGCTCAGTGGGGATCTATTCTCTGAAACCTCTAACCTGTGGGACTGTGGTCTCCAGATTGTAGTGCTTATTCAGGAATTTCAGCAGCTTCTGTGAGGGTCGGTCAATTGCCAGTTGGTGCGGTTCCACTCGCTCCTTCTGCAGGGAAAAGGAGACTCAGGGTAGGAGGAAGTATGGGGAAAGCATGCCAACAGGAAGCCAGAAGCCTGGGAAGGGAATAGAATGACATGGGAACATGGGGGGTGGGAGGCAGGGCTTCTGGAAGGGCTCAGGGCAAAGGAGCCCCTAGTTTGGATGAACCAGTGAAGAGGTCAGTGATACCTGCAACATATACTGGAAGAGTTCTCGCCCATGGCCATGGCGTTGCACAGACTCATGGATGTAAAAGTCCAGGATGCAAAGTGGTTCTACCTCATTATGAGCCTCACGATCATCCTAAGAGAGAAACAATAAAAATGTTTTAGGAACCCCGGCATCTCTGCTGCCCCCTAACCTCCAGCACTTTTGTTCTCAGAAACCAAGGTATACGAACTCCTAGCATCCAATAACACTCACCAGTACAAAGAGCTTCTTGTATCCAACTTTGATGAAACCAATAATGGCTCCTTTTCCAGCCCTGTAGGACGGGGAAAATAATGAACAGGCTAGTGGTATCTATCTGCAAGAGATAGTCAAAGATGGGGGAAGGGCTGAGGAAGGAAGGAATTAAGTATGGGATGGAAGAGCATGTGGCACTCACGGTCGGGCTGAACTGTCTTTGAGAATATAAACAACATGGCGGTTACTCTGCATCCTTGATGCACTAGTGATAGGAGCGGAAAGATTCTGGGCCTGCAGGGAAGATTAAGTCAGACTTTCTGCAAGTCTCTCCGAAGGACCCAGGCCTCCCTTATATACCATCCCCACAGAGGTCCTCCCTTTACTCCATCTAAAAACTCTCCAGTACCTTGGCAGAAGCCTTGCCCAGTTCATCTATAATGGTCATAATTTGCTGCTGTAGATCAACACTAGAGAAAGAGAAGAAATAAAGAGTCAGATACTCACTAAATTAGCGGGTCCTAGGCAGTCAGTCCTGGGAACCTGGGCCACAACTCCAACCCAGGTTTAACACTGAAGGCTCCCTGCCTTTGCCTGGGAGTCTTCCAATCTGATTTCCCACCCCACCCTTCTGAAACCCAAACTTCTGTCACACCTTTCAAGGTGGCACACTCCCTCCTCCCTTAAGGTTATTGTGAGGAAGCAGAAAGGCCAGGTCAACCACATCCTTTGATTGGGACATTTTGGGCCCGGGGTGAAAGGTCACAGATCCAAGCGCTGATCAATCCCACTAGGCCCAGGGTCAGAGGTCACCAAAAAGGCAGGCCTGGACATCAAAAGGGGCGATCACTAGTCAGTGAGAAGGGGGCGTGGTGCCTGGACCAGGTTTGGAGAGGAACCGGGAGAAAAGGGCCAGAGGGTGGGTTTGAGCTGTCACCGGGCCGGCGTTGTGGTTCCGGGTCGGCGGGCTGGGGGCCTCAGGTGCTGGTCCAGCACCGTGATCCGCTCCGGGAACAGCGCGTCCACATCGAACGGGAACTCCATGGCCCATTGTGCGCGGTCGGACCCGCCCCACACGACGTCACTTCCGCCCCTCCTCTCGCCGCACCGCCTCTCGGAGTCTTTATTTCCAGGAGCCCCGCCTGTAGACCTTGCCCCCTAGCGTCCTGGCAACTGACAGGGCCCCCGTTTTTCTTGCCAAACCAGCTGTGCCCCTAGCAGTGCCACTCCTTTCCATCCCTGCATCCCACGGCAGTGAGTGCCATGGCAACGTAGTCTTCCTTGGCCCAGTGTCTCACTGTCCAACCTTTTATCCCCTCAGTGAACAGTGGGCCATGCTGTGGAGTGGGGGCCCACAAGGCATCTTGACAGAGTGGCACAGCTGCCCATCCCCGGCTTCTAGTCCCAGGCGTCACAGGCAAGGCTGGCTTAAGCCTGACCACTTATCTCCCCACAGCATCACCCAATTGCTTATATGAAAAGACCATCACTCAGCCCACCCCCCGCTAATGGCATTCATCGGAAACAGCCCAAAGCAAACCAGAGACAGTAGAGCTTTATTGTGTAAAAGCTGAGTTGGTAGAAGTATGAAACGGCAACAATGTTTAGCCCAGCCCATCTATTTACAATATATAGGGGTTGGGGTTTCCCATACACATCTGTACCACCCGCCCTCAGCCTCAAGATTTATCCCTATCAGCAACATTCATTTCCTGGATTTGTCACTGGCCACAAAAGACACAACTCTTCAGGGTGATATCCCATCACATAAACCTACATACACATTATCTCCTAGTCCCTCTAGCTCTCTTCCCAGTCTTTTTTTTTTTTTTTGAGACAGGGTCTAGCTGTCACCCAGGCTGGAGTGCAGGGGTGTGACTGCAACTCACTGCAACCTCCGCCTCCTGGGATCAAGTGATCCTACCTTAGCCTCCCCAATAGTTGAGACTACAGGTGTGCACCACCACACCCAGCTAATTTTTGTATTTTTTGGTAAAGACGAGGTTTCACCATGGTGCCCAGGCTGGTCTCAAACTCCTGGGATCAAGTGATCAGCCCACCTTGGCTTCCCAAAGTGCTGGGATTACAGGAGTGAGCCACCACGCCTGGCCTCTCTTCCCAGTCTACAGCTCCTACAGAGCACTCTGAGGGCCTGTCTGCCCAGTGGAGGAGGCTTCCGCTGGTGTTCTAGGGGGCATCTTGGGCATTGACTCAGGTGGGGGGCCACTCTCTTCTTGGAGATGACCCTGGTAAAGCCGGCGAAGGCGAGACAGTTCTCTCTCCGGTGGCTGTTTCCAGTTGTACCATGGGTACCAGGGGTCACCTGAGACCAGGGTGGGGGCTGGCGGAGTAGCACTCACAGCCCCATGAGAGGTACTGAAGTCAAGGTCCCGTGGTTCAACCTGGGGGATGTGGTAAATGAGGAGACCTAAGGGATTAAAAAAGAAAAGAAATTTAAGAGGCAATGAGGAGGGTGGTTTAGATGAAGTAAGAAAAAGGATTATAAAGGGAAGGACCAGTCAGAGCCACCAGGTACATTTATGCATGTTGTATACTGCAAACAGGTGACCGGCCCAGAGGGCAAGTGTGGGCTGACATACTGCTGGGGCTCTTGCTTACAAAGCTGTGCAGTGCTGAACAAGGACTATGAAGCTGCATCTGCCCTAGCAGAGGGGTATACTTTTTACTAACTTATGCAGCAGTGCCATGTAGTCCAGGGCCAGACATTTATATAAAGAACTTCCTAAGGCATTGAGACCAGCAGTTGTAAAATAGGAGGGAAAAGGATGGAAAGACAAAGAACAAGGAGACAGGACAATGATAAAGTAAGACACTCAGGAGAAAGGACAGGGGACAATGTAACGTCAGGAAGAACATGCTGGGTGCTACCATCTTGAACAGGTGTGAGCATTTATATCCATTTTCTAGCCCTAAGTCATCTTCCTTATACCTAAACAAAACTGCTGTGTGCCCCGTCTCATGCTCACCATGATCCCTGGCTTTCTGGATGGCCTGGGTCAACCGCTTGTGCTGCTTCACACAGACTCCTGTGGGGAGAAAAATATCTTGTTCTTTAAGGCACAGTAAATAATAGAACACAACTGCTTCCATATGGTGACAGAGGGGTAGATTGGGAAGGATTGGCTTTACCTAATGACCCCTTTCCCCTGACCCCTCCATGGACCTCAGTTTCCCCATCTGCCCAAAGGAAAGAATCTCCCCCATCTTTTGGAGAGCTGGGATAAAGATTTAGGAGGGTCTAGCCACTATAGAGAAGCCATTTAATGGTAAAACCTCCAAGACAGGGAGAACACAATTTAATGGGCAAGTGTGGTTAATTAGAGGGTTGAGTTGAACAATCCACAAAGATTCAATAAAGGGAAAAGAGATTTCAGAGTTGGGGAAGGCAATCTGAGAGAGTAACAATAATAGTCCCTTCAGCCTTTACAGCTTGACTATAAGAAACTCTTGACAAACTGAACACTGATTGTACTGCCACCCCCAACAATGGTGAATTCAGATTATTCTCTGCAAGGCCAGGCACGGTGGCTCATGCCTATAATCCCAGCATTTTGGGAGGCTTAGGTGGGAGGATCACTTGAGGTCAGGAGTTCAAGACCAGACTGGCCAAAATGGTGAAACCCTGTCTCTACTAAAAATACAAAAAAAATTAGCCAGGCACAGTGGCACGTGCCTGTAATCCCAGCTACTTGGGAGGCTGAGGCAGGAGAACTGCTTGAACCCAGGAGGTGGAGACGGCAGTGAGCCAAGATCATGCCACTGCACTCCAGCCTTGGGTGACAGAGTAAATGAGATTTCATCCCCCCACCCACACCCCCCCAAAAAAAACAAAAACAAAGATTAGTCTCTGCCGGGCACGGTGGCTCATGCCTGTCATCCCAGCACTTTGGAAGGCCAAGGCAGCTGGATCACCTGAGATCCGGAGTTCGAGACCAGCCTGACCAACATGGAGAAACCCCATCTCTATTTGCCGGACATGGTGGCATGTGCCTGCAATCCCAGCTACTCAGGGGGCTGAGGCAGGAGAATCACTTGAACTTGGGAGGCAGAGGTTGTGGTGAGGCAAGATTGCACCATTGCACTCCAGCCTGGGCAACAAGAGTGAAACTTCGTCTCAAAAAAAAAAAACAACAAAAAATTATTCTCTGCAAATTTGTCTTGCTTCAGAGCAGGGGTTAGCAAAATTTTTCTGTCTAGAGTCATATAGTAAATATTTTAAACTCTGCAGGTCCTGTGGTCTCTGTCTCAGCTACTCAACTCTGCCATTGTAGCATGGAAGCAATTGCAGAAAATATGAAAACAAATGGACGTGACAGTGGGCCAGATTTGCCCTGTGACTGTAGTTAGGGAATAAATATAATTCTGAATTGTTAAATTTACGATTCCAAGTTTGGAAAATCTAATCCAATTGACAATGATATAAAATAACTTATGTGACAATTTGTGAGAAGTCTTTTGTAAAAGTTAAAAGACCCTATAGAAAGGAATTAATCACTGTTTATCAATTAAAAACTACATTTAGATAGTTTGCTTACAGAAGTACTTGTTTTTTTCTTCTTCCTTTTTTTTTTTTGAGATGGAGCTTCACTTGATGCCCAGGCTGGAGTGCAATGGCGCAATGTTGGCTCACCACAACCTGTGCCTCCTGGGTTCAAGCGACTCTCCTGCCTCCGCCTCCTGAGTAGCTGGGATTACAGGCATGCATCACCACAGGGTTTCTCCATGTTGGTCAGGCTGGTCTCGAACTCCCAACCTCAGGTGATCCAGCCGCCTCGGCCTCCCAAAGTGCTGGGATTACAGGCATGAGCCACCACGCCTGGCTGTATTTGTTGTTTTCTTTTGTCCACATTTAATTACTTTAGCCCCCAGCAAGCCAAGATTTCCAAAAGGTTCAGCCAGACCTTTTAGGCTATAAGCAGGAGCCACTGAACAAATACCTATTGGCCAACTACATAAACAAGGCATGCCACAAGGAAAAGCTCTCTGGTGGTGCAGGGATGATGGGCTAACCTGTGTATGGAGCATAGAAGATGATACCCGTGTGGGCGCAGACAAATTGCTCCAAGAGCTTCACGTTCTGTGGGGGAAAGTGGTAGAGAAACGTGAGGAAAAGAGGCAGGGAGAGCAGCAGGATCTTTGGACATCGAAAGTACACAATCCCTACACACCCACATGGACCACCTTCACCCCTCTACAGCTCTCCAGATGCCATCCTCCTTCATGTCCCAGTTTGGCTTCATCAATTCACTGAATCCATCCTTGCACATCCCATATTCTGTCACTGTGCTCCCATAGAAATCTCTTATGCAGAGGTTAAGTTCTTTTTTTTTTTTTTTTTTTTTTTTTTGAGACAGAGTCTCCCTGTGTTGCCCAGGCTGGAGTGCAGTGGCGCGATCTCAGCTCACCACAACCTCCGCCTCCCAGGTTCAAGCAATTCTCTGCCTTAGCCTCCCGAGTAGCTGGGGTTACAGGCGCCTGCCACCACACCTGGCTAATTATTTTGTATCTTTAGTAGAGATGCGGTTTCACCATCTTGGCCAAGCTGGCCTTGAACTCCTGACCTAGTGATACACCCACCTTGGCCTCAGAAAGTGCTGGGATTACAGGCATGAGCCACCGCGCCTGGGCTGCAGAGGTTAAGTTCTAACGTCAGCCTTTAGGTGAAAAACTGGGGCTGGTCATTGGAAATCCCAGAAATCACCCAAAAAATGATATTGTAATGTGTATGTATAAACAACTAATGTATTTAATAGTATGCTGAATATAATTTATATACTAAGAATAATTTTACAATTTACATAGAACTCTCTCTCAGCAAATTAACTAGGAAATGAGACTCTTGAAAAAAAAGCAGGTACATTGTAGAGTAGAATGCAAGCAGAATCACCCATGCTACTAAATTTGTAACATTTCTCTCTCTCAGTTATGTAATTAATTATAATCTCTGTTTTGTTTTGTTTTTGAGACGGAGTCTCGCTCTGCTGCTCAGGCTGGAGTGCAGTGGTGCAATCTTGGTTCACTGTAACCTCCATCTCCCAGGTTCCAGTGATTCTCCTGCCTCAGCCTCCTGAGAAGCTGGGACTACAGGCGCCCGCCATCACACCCAGCTAATTTTTTTTGTATTTTTAGTAGAGACGGCGTTTCACCTTGTTGGCCAGGCTGGTCTCAAACTCCTGACCTCAAGTGATCCACTCACCTTGGCCTCCCAAAGTGCTGGGATTACAAGCATGAGCCACCGCACCTGGCCATAATCTCTTTTTATAACCAATTATATGCAATTGAAACTGGGAAATTATCTATGGGACTCCTAAATAACCTGTGTTAGAAGGGTTCTTATTGCAGTCAAATACCCCCATTTTCTGACTGTTATCCAAATGCTCTACTACTTCCCTGATGATCAGCCATATAGCTTCTGCTCTAATACTTTTGCTGCAAGCTCAGAAGAACACTTTCCCATTATCTGTTTTATTGATATAATGTTTTCAAATTCTTTTTGTTTTGTTTTTCTTTGAGGAGTTTCACTCTTTCGCCCAGGCTGGAGTGCAGTGGTGCAATCTCAGCTCACTGCAACCTCCGCCTCCCGGGTTCAAGCAATTCTCCTGCCTCAGCCTCCCAAGTAGCTGGGATTATAGGCGCCTGCCACCATGCCTGGCTAATTTTTGTATTTTTAGTAGAGACAGGGTTTCACCACGTTGGCCAGGCTGGTCTCAAACTCCTGACCTCAGGTGAAGCACCTGCCTGGGCCTCCCAAAGTGCTAGCATTACAGGCATGGGCCGCCGCACCCAGCCAATATGTTTTCAAATTCTTTAAGGAGCAAATCCTGTCCTTCTCACATATTGAAGGCTTTTTGAAAAATAATGGACTCTATCTTGCTTCATATACCTGCCCTCCAGCCCCAGGTGCCAGCATGGCACTGAACATTGACAAGGAAATAAAGAAAACCTCAGGAAGAAAGTGGGCCAATATATTTGGTAATAACTGTAATGAATACAAACGAATCTTTGGATATTGGCTCTCCCACTAGAAATAGCCATTTCGCTGGCTGGGTGTGGTGGCTCACACCTGTAATCCCAGCATTTTGGGAGGCCGAGGCGGGTGGGTCACAAGGTCAGGAGTTTGAGACCAGCCTGGCCAATATGGTGAAACTCTGTCTCTACTAAAAATACAAAAAATAGCTGGGCTTGGTGGCACAAGCCTGTAGTTACAGCTACTTGGGAGGCTGAGGCGGGAGAATCGCTTGAACCCAGAAGGCGGAGGTTGCAGTGAGCTGAGATCACGCCACTGCACTCCAGCCTTGGCAACAGAGTAAGACTCCGTCTCAAAAAAAAAAAACAGCCATTTCTCTTACCTGCCAATTTAGACTGTAAATTTCATAGGCATAGGATAAAACTTTCAGTACAATCCATAGTAGAAGGTAAAAGGCTGGAGGGATGTTTTTATAATGCCAGAAACAGTTACTATAAAACGGACTGTAGGGCCTCCTGGATATACGAAGTGTGGGGCACCTACAGTAATCTCTTTGGCACTGCAAAGGGGCTCCTAATCTTTATTTTTCTTTTTAATTTTTTTTATTTTATTTTATTTTTTTTTTGAGACGGAGTCTCACTCTGTCGCCCAGGCTAGAGTGCGGTGATGCGATCTCAGCTCACCGCAAGCTCTGCCTCCCGGGTTCACGCCATTCTCCTGCCTCAGCCTCCTGAGTAGCTGGGACTACAGGCGCCCGCCACCACAACCGGCTAATTTTTTGTATTTTTAGTAGAGACGGGGTTTCACCGTGTTAGCCAGGATGGTCTTGATCTCCTGACCTCATGATCCACCTGCCTTGGCCTCCCAAAGTGCTGGGATTACAGGCGTGAGCCACCGCGCCCAGCCCCTAATCTTTATTTTTCTTACCCTAAAAAGAAAAGACTCTCCTTACCCTAAAGTCAACATGCAACTTGTGATCTCGACAGATGGGGCAGGGATTCCCAACAACTTTATTCCGACGCTGTAGAGAGAAAAAAAACAGCAGTTAAGGATGTTCAAACACGTCAGAAAAAGTGCTGCTGTTACTGTTACTTGTGGCCTCCCCGCACTCCACATCCCACTCTCAGAAACTCACAATACATGTCTTCCGAGTCCGCTGTGGGGGTACACCACCCTTGTGGTTGCGGCGGTAGTCAGCCCAGACGGGGCGAGAACCATATCGCTCCTGGTATTCTGAAATGAAAGATCATACAAGTTATTCCTGGGTGGGAGTGTAGTGGGTGGCTCTGTCCACTTATCTCAAATCCTATCTGACCCTCCCTTTCCCCCTTTAGAGGTACCTTCTGATTCCAGATATTTCCAGGGCTCATCCTTATAAGGAGAAATGGGAACTGAGGACAAAGAATCTTCCTCAGAGGGAGCTTTGGTGCAAAGAGTCTGGAGGGGAACCTACAAAGGAGAAGAAAAAAATAAAAGAATGAGTTTAAGGAAAGGACTAAATTGTTTTGCTTATCACACTTTGGAAAGGAGGAATGCACACATACTGCATTAATGGAATATAACAGGAATGCATATGTAAGTTAAGTATTTTTGTTGGGTTTAAATTGACATAAATCAACAACCACTCTCCTTTTCTACAATTGGATCCTGAAAGAAAAGCTAAGTTAGGGGATATATGCCTAAAAAACAATCTTATTTCAGAAGACAAATAAAAAGTCTAGTACAAGGCCGGGCGCAGTGGCTCACGTCTGTAATCCCAGCACTTTGGGAGGCCCAGGCAGGCGGATCATGAGGTCAAGACATCGAGACCATCCTGGCCAACATGGTGAAACCTTATCTCTACTAAAAATACAAAAATTAGTTCGGCGTGGTGGCATGCGCCTGTAGTCCCAGCTACTCGGGAGGCTGAGGCAAGAGAATCACTTGAACCCGGGAGGCGGAGGTTGCAGTGAGCCAAGATTGCGCCACTACACTCCAACCTGGCAACAGAGTGAGATTTCGTGTAAAGAAAAAAGAAAAAAAAATCTAGTACATAAAAGGTATTCTTGCTTTTTGGAAATAAATTGACTCTGGTGGAAGAATAAAGTAAGAGGAAGGATATCTAGGTTCTTGGAACTAAGATGTGTGGTGGGGAGGGGATGCAGAAGACAGGTGAGTCTCCAAATCAATCCAATGAAGTCACTGAGTTGCCCATTTTCATAAAAGCTGAAGGTCAACATTCTACAGGGCAGAACAAACTTGAGTCCTAACGCTAGTTTTAAAGCTACCAAGGCTGTTATTATTTCTGTGTTGACCTCTGTCACCACTCTTCAGTCCCACTTTAGGGAGTGGCAGCTGGGCAAGCCTTCCTATCTCACCGTGCCCCACCAAGAACCTCCAGAGAGGTGAGTACACAAGACTGGAGGGAAACCTCAATTCAAAGGACGGAGTTAAGCTCTCATAACTCCGATAAGAAACTGATTTAATAAAGAGAGCTGAGAAACTGTCCTCAGGTCGTAAGAATATATCCTGACCTTATTGAGAAATAGCAAGGTTGGTAGAAATTGGGATCCCTAATTTCCCCAAGGACATTCCAGAGCAACACAGATTTAGTCACCACTTGCATAGTTAACAGCTGGTTGTGGCGCTCGCTTGGGGAGTACATATGTTATGCTAAAATTGCAACGATACAGAGATTAGCATGGCCCTTTAATTAGTTAAATAATTTTTAAAAAGCTGGTTATGCATGACTGAGGGTGGACAGGGGTCAATTCCATCACTTAAGTTATTTTACTGAAATGGCATTTTGGAAAAAGGATGATACCTAACCCTGGCGTTTAGTCCTCGGCTCGGGATTAGAAAATGCGCGGGGTGTGGGGGGGGGGTTGCAGGAAGTACTGCCTAGACAGCTAAGACACACGTGGGAAGGTCTCCACTCGTGGATTCCTGACAGTGGAGCGACAACCTCGAGAAGGTATAACCAACTTGAGGTTGTGCAAAATGTCTTTCGAAGAGTTACCTGAACTCTGTGAGAACCTCGGAAGAGAGATAGCATAGGAAGCCGCCTCAGCACGGTGTTTAATACAGACGCCGCCATCTTGACGTACGCCCAGGACAGGAATTGACGGAAAGGCAACTGCGCATGCTTCAGGAAACTGAGTAGGGCAGGGCCAAGGACAAGCCCGCAGTGCGGAAGGCGGCCCCACGTTTGCGTCAGGACGGAAGCGTGAAAGGGAAGGCATGGGGGAGAAGCTAATTTCAACTGCGTCACAATCGAATTAGACCCCAAAATTGCGGTTTTTTTTGGCCAGTCACTACGACTCTTAGATCGCATTGTTAAAGTTTGCCTTTTAAGCAATTTTGAAGGCGATTTTTAGCGGTATCCTCTCAGTGCGCATGCGCTCTTAGGTTTCTACCAATCCTGGGTGAGAAATGTTCTCCAGGGCGGAAGTGGCGGAAGCAGAGGAAAGGGAGGTGCTAGGCTCCTGGTCACGCGCACGCGACAGGGAGGCAGGAAGGAGGCGGAAGAGAGTGCCAGGGAAAGGGGCGGAGCAAAGGTGAAGTGAGAGTAGCCAATCAGTTGGCGAGTTGTCATTTGGGTTGACCAATGAGTTCACGCCTCGCGTATAATGTCTCGCGACAAGGGCGTTTCACTAGCACGTTTGGGCGCGTTGGGCGGCGTCCGGGTATAAAAGACTCCACCCGAGCGGGCGGCCGCCATTCTGGGGTTCGTTTAGAGGTAAGTTTGCCTACTTTGTCGTCTAGTGGGTAAAATTTTGCGGAGAGCGTTGGATCTGGGAAGCGGGATAGGGATGGATGGGTTCATTTGAGAGCCACGGCTTAAAGCGGTTGCGATCAGGATGGGACACAGGTTTGTTTGGGGACAACAAAGATGGCATTTGTGAGTGTTTTGAAGCAACCCGTACTGATTACATCTTTCTCCCTTGTGTTCCTTTTATCCCAGGTTTGAATTTTCTCGGAGAAAGACAGGCCGGCCACGAGGAAAACAGAAACAAGCCGCAGCAACATCTAAGCCCTTGAAAGGATCCTGAGAGAGGGGGGAAAGGGAAAACAGCAGCCACCAGCCCAACCACTTGTGTCTTCTGCCCCTTCCCACCTATCTTGCCCACCCCACCAGCCCACGCTGCTTGGGACTTGAAATCTGTGGCCGAAGGACCGTCACTACATAACTTCAAAAATAATCAACCACCCTCCCTTCCCAAACCACCCAAATTCACTCATCCAGCGTTTACTTTTTTGAATCCACTCAGAACTTTTTTCTGCGACCCCCCTCCCTAAATGGAGTTGGGTGGGGGGGAAATGAATACTGAGTTGGCCTTTATTTTTTAAAAGACTTTTTGATCCAATGAGGCCCCCTAAATAATTGAGTTTTGGGTCCTGGTTGGTTGTTTTATTTTTTTTCCTCCAAAATTTTACCCCCTCCCCCCTGAGCCCGAGGTGCTGACGTCGCAAAAAAATTGGATAGTAAGTGTCGAATTTTCAAAAACCAGCCTTGCAACAAGAAATCAACGTTTCCCGTTGTGAAACCAAAAATAATGAGAGGAAGAAATGAGACCATAGAACAAATAGAGAACTGGAGAAGGACCAATCTGGTCACTTAATCTCCATTAAAAAGGGCCTGTGGGTCTAAACAGTCTTGTTCTCTCTCCCCTACCACCTATCTCTTCCCTGCCTTGCTGCAGGCAAAGAGAGGGTGGAGGGAGGGCCAGCAAGTGAGGATTTTGATGGTTAACCCTTGGTAATCCAGCCAATTTCCAGACTGCCAAAGCCATATGTGTTTATATAAGGAGGAATGGTTACCTTCCTCTGGTTAGCAGCAGTCTTCAAAAGGGTTAATGAGCTCACATACAAGAGATGGTGGATCTTGTGGCCCAGAAGTACCACTTCTTTGTGTGTGAGACAAGCAGGGTGCCTTTCAATTTGCCAGATTAATAAGCAATCTGTACATAAAGATTGCAGGGTAAGGAGATGGGCAGAGAGAAGTAATAGCTCGCTATAACTTTTTAAATGACTGTTAAATCCTCTCAATTTTAATGTAATTTGCTTGGGGTATATTTGTGTGGTTAAAATAGGTGGCAATCTAGGAATAAAGATTGCAAGACACTTAGGACAAAATATAATCTTAGTGCCAGTACATACAAGATAATAGTTGGGGAGGTAAAGAATGTCTTATAATTGTTGCAGATTGCATAGGTATTTAAAAGCAAAAGAGTGATTAACATTTTAACTTGATATTTTTTGGTGGGGGAGGTACAGTTAAATAGAGGGTGGAAAGGTTGGGAAATGTGGAATTTAGGAGTATAATTTTAAAAGCCATTTAGTGCAATTGAATGCTAGCTTTCTAAAAGATTTGTGTCGTTAAAAGGAATTTTTTTCTTCCCTGCTTCAATATGGCGACTTTCCTTGTCCTTTTGTCTTCCAAGCGGCGTTGCAGGTTGTGTCTTGACCCATTTTTTTTCCTGTCCTCCCACCTCAACCCTATTTGTTGAGAGGGGTCCAAGTCCTTCCTCCCCCTTTCCCTCTATAGGGAGGATGGGGGTGGTCGATGGTAGCCGGTTGAACCTCCGTTGCAAATTCAGTTCTTCCCTGCAGAAAATTGTTCTTTTTAATATTTTAATTGCTTTAATTTTCACTACGCTCTTACTGATCAAAATAGGTCAAAGATTATTCACGATGGGGAACTGGTTTTTGATTTTTTTTTTTTTTTTTTTTACTAAAAAGGTGTTTTATAATGTAACTGAAGCTACCGGCAGAGCCGGGTGGCTTTTTAGTTTAAGTCCTCTTTCTCCATTACAAAATGGCGTCCCTCCGTCTTTGTTGTTTTTCTCCCCCTTTTGCCATCCTGAGCTTAGGGCCGCCCTAGAAACTTGGTCAAGTGGGAGGAGCAGCCTTGAAAGGTGATGTAATC
The DNA here is from genome assembly GCF_000001405.40 of Homo sapiens. NCBI lineage: Eukaryota > Metazoa > Chordata > Mammalia > Primates > Hominidae > Homo > Homo sapiens. Next base: position 1,870,863 of record NT_167245.2, on the reverse strand, counting down.
AGCTTTCTTCCTCCTCTCTCCACCCTCTTGAAGCTCCACCCCTGAGCAGATGCTTTTGCACTGCCTGTGCTCGTTGCTGCTAGGGAGAAGACATTTTCCTTATTTTCATTATATAAAATATCTTAAAGGGATAGGAGCTTATAGGAATTAAGTATCAAGGCTGTCCATCTCTGTGTAGTTCTAGTTTTTATAGAACCAGTTTTTATTTTCACTTTCCTTCACTCATCACAACTGCTTGTAATTTTTCCCCACTTCAGCTGCCAGGGGTGAAAAAACAGGCAAACCTAAGACTGGGAAGCTTTGAGGATGTGTGTGAGCGTGTGTGTATGTATATATGTGTGTAGAGGGAGATGGGAAAGACACAAGGGCTTGCAAGAGTAACTTGGAGATAAACGGGCCTAATGACACTGAAGTGTGCCATTTCTGCTTAGGAACCAGTGGGCCTCCTGCATTTGGTCGCTTTGTGTAATGAGAATCGGGGGAAGGTGGGTACTTTTAGGACTTTCTTCTAAATCGCCCTCATTCCCACCTCTCAGTTTGGGGATAAACTGTATTCAGTGCTGTATCACGTTCTGCACTTGATTAGTTCCTGTACATTGGTACTAGGATAAGAAGTGAATCTTTAGGAAAGGAGGCGGCAGTTGTAAACTCAAGGCAGGGGGAATCAAGCTACGGTTTCTGGTAAGCAAAACCTTTCTGGTATTACATTTCACAACTTTCATTTTTTTTTTTTCCCCAAAGAGCCACCTTTTTTGAATTTCTTTTTCCTTCCCTTCTAAAAGAAATTCCTAAAAGCATTAATGAAAAAATGATGTCCTCTTCATTTTTCAACTCATGCAGTGCTGTGGCATTTGGTGCATGTTCAGAAGCCATGCCCTATCTGAGGGTGGTATTGGGTGTCTGGTTCCTTTCTTCCCCCAAATTTTTCAAAGTCAAATCTTTATCAGACTCTCCATATAATTTTAATTTTTAAAAGTCCTGCACTGAAGCGTGGAGGTTCTAGGCAGAATTGGAAAGTATAACTGCCCTCTGGTGACCTGGGTGAGACTTAGGGCTAACTTCCTACTGGGTACAGATTCTCAAATTATTACTTAAGCTTCTGGATTGGATGGGAGGGACTCTTCACATGTCTGTTGACTACAAGCTTTTTTTGTTTTGTTTTGTTTTTTTCTTTTAAGCAGTTTGCCATGTGCCTCTGCAGCATATCTTCCTTGGGAGCTGAACATTCTACCCACTGGGGTTCCTGATCTCTAGTGAGCCAGGGGATTAATAAAGAAGATCTTCCTTAACATGGGAGATGGGAAGCCAGGTCTACTAGGGGAACCACATCCATTCAGAAAATCTTGGAAAACCTGATCCTTGTAGTTTGTGGCCAGAGTTCTAGTCTGGGGTCTTTTTCTATGAGTCAGGGTGGTATATCATTTTGCATCTTTATTGGAAGGCAGATAAGCTTTTGAGGAGCTCATGTATCAGGTTTGCAAAATGACTGAGGGGTAGGGGCTTACTACTTGGAAGAAAGCTATGACCTTGTGATGAATCACCTGAGAGACATAATTCAGTCCACTATTGTGTCAAACTAGGAAGTGCCTAAAACACTGAAGAAAGGAAGGGGAACATAAGGGGTTAGGTACAAATCATTTTCATTTCCAGAAGTGCCTCTAAATTAAGGTAAATTTGGGACTTTTTTCTCCTTTTGTTAGAAGACAGTTATTTTTTAAAGAGCTCTGACTTGCACAGAATTTTTATCCTGAACCAATTCAGTCCTGTTTCATTGGTGATGGGTGTGGAATAACTTTAGCTATGCTGGATATTTTTTCACCCTATTTAATTGAATAACCCTCAAGTAAAATTCATTTTGAAGGCAGGAGTTGGTGTCACAGACGTTTATCTCTGGTAAAAATGGTAGAAAATTCCCCAATGCCTTGTGCCAGTAGAGTATGGCTCTGCCTGAAACATTCTCCATAAGGAACGCATAGCTTAGGATGAGGTGGAGGTAGGCCAGGGGGTTGCTACCTCACTCCCCACCTTCTGTATGTTCTGCAGTCAAGAAAATAGCAGCTCATTAAAAGAAGACATAATCATGCCGTGGATTACTTGTGGTTCCAGAAAGCTTTCTTAAGCTTTCATTCTAGACTCCAGATCTTGAGTAGGTAATGTTACAACACTTAGTCACGGCCCCTGCCTGCCTTCATCAACTCAGTTTGCCTTCTCTGCTGTAGCCCTGTGCCCGAAATGTTGGACTTTACATTCCTTTCCACTTGAGCGCCTTGGAAATTGTTTGGTTTTTTTCCAAAATATACTGACTTCAAAGCAAGGAAACTAGGTTATAAGACACTTGGGGTCCTTAATTTTAAATAAGAACTAATCTTCCTGAAGGAAGGCCATCATGAGAAAACCCACTTACATTTTATCAAGATTGGTGCTCATGAGACAAAATTTCACTTATATTTCCAAAATATAAGTAGTGGAAAATGAATATTTAACGCTAATTTTGCTTTGTCTCTTAGCTTCCCTTTGACTATTAATGTCTTTTATTCTTGTTTATACATGTGGGAATAAAAAAGTCCCTGGATCCCATTTCCAGCAGAGGGCACTGGACAGAATTTAGCTTTGTACTCATTGGTCCATTTTTCTAAGACTGGCTCTTCTTTCTTGTCTCCCATCCTCTTAAGGAACACTTGAGCTCAGATGACAGTTTATTTAGTGTCTGAAGGAAATAGGGGTAGTAGGTCTATTTATTGGCTTAGCTTGTAGTTGGATATGCAAAAAGGAATTCTCCAGGGTTATATATATTCAACTCTGGGTTTGAATCAGTCAAGGGTAACTGGTTTGAAATGATGTTTAATTCAAGGCCTTTTGTCAAATTGCATATATTTTGCTTTAGGAATCTAATGGTAGGTATGTGTGTATATATAGAGAGAGGGAGTTTTAAAAATTTCTTAGTCTCTTGATTGCTTATGATATGTTGTTATTGGAACCCATACATTGCTTTTCCAGTCTCCAACAGATGTGATATCTGTTTTATGTGTCCCTTTATCGTATCTCTTTATAGTTTCTATAGATCACTTTATAGTATCTCACTACATGGGAAGAATACCTTTATTTCTGTGTCTGTCTCTGTGTGTGTAGGAATCACCACACTTGAGTGGATTTGGCCCACGGACATCTAATCTTTTCCAGTATTCTCCTTGAATGTTTTTTCTCTGACCTCAGGTTCCACTTGTATTTGTGGAGGTTCCAGGGCAGCAGCGACTTCTCAACATTTCTTGCCTCATCTCTCCCTCTGTTCAGCCCACAGGTTATGATCTCCAGAGCCAAGATTATACTCCTACCCTTCCTGGCTGCCTCCTCCCTGCTTCTGCTGCTGCTCGCCTAGGTTGTTAGGACCTACACATTTGGAAACTTACTGACGTTTTTGTTGGGAGGACAAAAAGGCTGAGATTGTTATGCTATGTTTTTTCTTTTGTTTGAGAACAAGTAGAACTAATTTGCATTATCTTACAAGAAACCTGTGTTTTTTCCGGCACAAAACTACTCATCTTTGTAAAATACTGATTTTTCTACCCTTCTGCTGGGATTGTGTCTGTTACTTCTGTGCTAGATGTAGGATGAGGAAGGTTTTGTTCTTGCCTCTTCCTTGCTACTCAGTGTGGGCCTTATTGCCCAAAGGCAGATATTGCTGAAGTGGCTTTCTTTTTTGGTGGTTTTTTGTTTGTTTGTTTTTGAGGCAGCGTCTTACTCTGTCTCTCAGGCTGGAGTGCAGTGGCACAATCACAGCTCATTGTAGCCTCAGTATCCCTGGGCTCAAGCAGTCCTCCCGTTTTCCCACGTCAGCCTCCCGGGTAGCTGGGACTACAGGTGCACACCATCACACTCGACTTATGTTTTGTAGAGATGAGGTTTCGCCATGTTGCCAAGGCTGGTTTCAAACTCCTGCGCTCAAGGAATCTGCCCACCTTGGCCTCCCAAAGTGCTGGGATTACAGGCATGAGCCACTGCACCCAGCCTCTTTTTTGGGTCTTAGAAGCAAGTATTTAGAGGCAGTGTAGATAAAAATCCCAATCAGAACCATATTGATCCTAAATTACCTTTCTGGAACTTCAGTTCTGGCTTGTCCCTTCCATAAAAGGAGCTTAGCTTTTAACTAATTCCCTTCCCAACCTGGTCTAAAACAGCTGCTTAAAAGGGAATTTTTCTAGCATTTGGCTTTATCTGTTCCCTTTTTAGGTTCCATGGTTTTCAGTTTTAGGCTTTCCTAGGGGATCTTGTACAGCGTGATTTTTGAGGAGAGGACCAGATTCGCATCTTTGCTTTTGAAAGCACAAACCACTAGCTTCCTTTTAACTTAGAGACAGTAAAAACTTGTGTAGTGTTTGGCTAATGAGTGACAGTCTATTCAAGGTCTAGGAGGACCTGCTTGATTTCCATGCATCCATTTGTCTCAATCTCTGGCACCTACTCCCAGATCTCCTTAGGGAGGGATTCTGTTTTCAAGTTTTGTTTTGTTCTCCATCATCTACCACTTCAGCTGATACATATCTTGCCATGTGTAGTGATTATGACTCTTAATGGGCTAAGATAAAAAGGACTCAAGTCTTATAAGACATTTAGCTCAAACACCCAAGATTGGCCCAATTTCTATCAAGCTATAGGCTGTTTTTCAAGCCAAATTTATCAGCAACTAGGGAAGACAGGACTTAACGATAGGTGTAAATGCCCTGGAGAGTTGAACATCTTGTTATGGGAACTGATCTTAGCTTTAATACGATCTAGTGAAGTTCAGCCATCCTAGGAAGGATGCTGCTGGGAGGGAGGGACAGGTGTGCTGCCCTACTCCTCCAATCGAATTGCTTTCCTGTTCAGTCACATATGCTCCCCATGCTTAACTTGCCAGGGCTATTTTCTCAGTAGTGGCAAGTGGTCTGTGTCGATTTTTCATATCTAAAAAATAGCATAGTTGAATAATTAGTCATTATACTTTGTCAAATATAGAGATGTGGTTTATTAGAGGGCCTACTCGGGTAGTCCTTGCCACCCATTTATTCTGTGGGTTTGTTTGTTTTGTCCTCTTACCATAGAAACCACCATCATGGGTTCGGGTCCCATAGACCCCAAAGAACTTCTCAAGGGCCTGGACAGCTTCCTTAACCGAGATGGGGAAGTCAAAAGTGTGGATGGGATTTCCAAGATCTTCAGGTGAGTCTTTACCCCTTTTTGTATTCACTGTGAGTAGAGAATATTGTGTGTTAAAACATGGCTGCAGTTGAGGCACACTGGAATGATCCTGGAAAGGAAAGGGAAAGATAGTCAGTGCAATAGGATTAAAATGTAACAATTTTAGGATAAGGGATAGGAAAAGATGATCACTTGTTTCTGACCATAATGGAAACTGGAGATTTGGACGTCCACGGTCCCAAGGGAGTCATGCTTTGGAATGAGAGCAGGGTAGCCTGGTAACAGAATTCTAGATTGTTTTGGTTCGTGTTCCACCTACCCATAATGTTATTTTCCTTCAGGGATTCTCAGGTTTTTCAGGGGAGAGTAAATAACTAAGCCAGTCTTGAACAGACTATTAGGGACAGTTGTTGAGGGATAGCCTTATCACCTGGAGGCAGAATGGAATTCATCCTGTGTGTTACGGAGGCAGCGATGCTCTCCTCCCCAGGTCAGAGACTGCGGTGTCTCTGTTCTCCCATAAGTTTCCATGTCACACTGGATCCATCCCATCTTCCTAGAGGTATATGTGACTCCCCTTCTCTGGAGCAAAGTCCCAAGTCATTAGGAATCTCTAGGCAGTTCACAGAGAGGCGCTTTTGCTAAGAGAAGAGATACTGGCTGCTTCATTTCTAACCCTAACTCATCTTCTGCAGTTTGATGAAGGAAGCACGAAAGATGGTGAGTCGATGCACTTACTTGAACATTCTCCTGCAGACCCGTTCACCAGAAATATTGGTCAAGTAAGTGGGGATCTGGATGGTTGGAATGGGAAGGTGTAGCGAAAAGATGGGGCGGTGAGGCATGGGGTTCCTGGGTCATTGATGGGAGACTGGGATTGTAGGATGTGGTACTGTCAAAACCTAGAAAGGGCATTACTGATAGACTCTCCTGCCTGCCTGCAGATTTATTGACGTTGGCGGCTACAAACTTCTTAACAATTGGCTGACGTATTCAAAGACAACCAACAACATTCCCCTCCTCCAGCAAATTCTACTGACCCTGCAGCATCTACCGCTCACTGTAGACCATCTCAAGCAGGTACCTTTAGTCTTTAAACCCTGATTCTTCCTTTTTTGGTTTAGTCTAATGGATGAAAAACTCAAACTGACTGATGTGGCTGTAATCTTGGGCCTGTGAGGTAGAACAGCAGAAAAAAAATAGGAATTTAGAAGAAGAAGACTTGGTTTGAATTTATCTCCTTTAATAGGTGTGTGGCGGCTGGGCACGGTGGCTCACGCCTGTGATCCCAGCACTTTGAGAGGCTGAGGCGGGCGGATCATGAGGTCAGGAGACTGAGACCATCCTGGCTGACGTGGTGAAACCCCGTCTCCACTAAAAATACAAAAAATTAGCCAGGCATGGTGGCATGCGCCTGTAGTCCCAGCTAATCAGGAGGCTGAGGCTGGAGAATCGCTTGAACCCAGGAGGTGGAGGTTATTGTGAGCCGAGATCGCACCACTGCACTCCAGCCTGGGCGACAGAGTGAGACTTCGTCTCAAAAAAAAAAAAAAAAAAGGAATGTGTCAGCCAGGTGTGGTGGCTCACACCTGTAATCCCAACACTTTGGGATGCTGAGGTGGGTGGATTGCTTGAGCCCAGTAGTTCAAGACCAGCGTGGGCAAAAATGATAAAACTCTGTCTCTACAAAAAATACAAAAAATTTACCCAGATGTGGTGGTGCATGCCTGTAGTCTCAGTTATTTAGGAGGCTCAGGTGGGAGAATCATTTGAGCCTGGGAGGTCGAGGCTGCAGTGAGCCAAGACTGCGCCACTGCACTCTAGCCTGGGCAACAGAGTGAGACTCCGTCTCAAAAAATAAAAAAAAAAAAAAAAGCAGGGAGGACTGTAACTTTTGTCGTTTTTAGCTCTAAGTGGAATTATTTGCCTCCTGGCATTTACCTTTCTGCTGCTCCCATCTCTCATAGAACAACACAGCTAAACTGGTGAAGCAGCTGAGCAAGTCAAGTGAGGATGAAGGTAGGGTGCCACTCCTGCTCTCTCATGGGCTTTTCTCTATTACTTCCACTTAATTACCTTAATATCTTTTCCCATCCTTGGATTGTCCCTTCACTTTTCTCTTTCTACCTCACCTTGCTTTTTTTCCTTCTTTTAAAGAGAAAGTTCCTCTAACCTGTACCCTCTTTCCTGTTCTCAATTCCAAAGTTGTTCATTTCTCTGTTGCTGAATATAAGGTGCCATACTTTAACTGGAAGCTGATTCCTAAAATTGCTTGTTATAAAACACATACACTTAAAATTTGCTGTGGGAAATAGTATCATCCTAGCGTGTCTCATCTGTGAAACTCCTATTACTAAATGATAAATTATGAAATGAGTTTATAAGTGGAAATGTTGGCCAGAAGAGAGGTGCCATAGATCAGAGATGTTATTTGCCAAGTACAAAAGGAAAGAGTTACAAAGTATTTTTTCATATATTTAGAAACAAATTTTATTCTTGTTTTCACATCTATAAAGGAAAATAAAAAGTCTTCAGATTGTTGTAACAATTAGGTGTGTTATACATAAAGCAACTAACGTAGCTTTTTAAAAAAATGTCAGTTTTTGAGGAACTGGTGGATTTTGGTTACATGTATAAGTTCTTTAATGGTGATTTCTGAGATTTTGGTACACTCATCACCCAAGCAGTGTACACTGCACCCAACGTGTAGTCTTTTACTAATGTAGATTTTAACCACATATTCTGAAATATTAGGTCTTTTTACTCCAGAGTGGTGTGATGACATCAGAGTTGAAAGTTATCCAAGTAGAACACAACTCTAATTCATTGTTCCATTTTTTAAGGGTTTGGTTTTTAAGCATATCTCATGTTCTTCTTAAAACTTTGGGTTACTTTCTCCGTTACATAAATTTTCACAATATTTTCTCAAACCTCCCATTTTCTGTTCCTGGAAGAATGTTACTTTACATTATTTAGGCATTTCCCCTTTCTGTCACCTGCAGAGCTCCGGAAATTGGCCTCAGTCCTTGTCAGCGACTGGATGGCTGTCATCCGCTCTCAGAGCAGTACCCAGCCTGCTGGTAAGCTCCTTAGTCCTTTATCCTTTGTATTTATTTCTTTCCTATTGGGATGTGGCCTTTAGGTGCTCCCAGTCTGCTTCACCTCTGACAGTGTTCATCTAAATAAAATCCTTTTCTGCTTTGTTTTTTCACAACAGAGAAAGATAAGAAGAAACGTAAAGATGAAGGAAAAAGTCGAACTACCCTTCCTGAGCGACCTTTGACAGAGGTGAAGGCTGAGACCCGGGCTGAGGAGGCCCCAGAGAAGAAGAGGGAGAAGCCCAAGTCTCTTCGCACCACAGCACCCAGTCATGCCAAGTTCCGTTCCACTGGTAAGACTGGCGGCTGGCCTCTGGAGGGTTCATGGGCATGTGCACACCCAGAGCCTTATGGGGGAATCATTTGATGTGTGGTATGTTAATCGTAAGGAAGAGGGAAGACTAGCAGAGGAAGCTTTGGTTACAAGGCTAGAAGAACATTTGCGGGTGAGAACGGGAGGAAAATTCGGGGGTCTGGGGTTTGAGTTCAGCTGCCCACACCGTGCTTCTTTCCCCAGGACTAGAGCTGGAGACACCATCCTTGGTGCCTGTGAAGAAGAATGCCAGCACAGTGGTGGTTTCTGACAAGTACAACCTTAAACCCATCCCCCTCAAACGTCAGAGGTATGGACCATATTCTCAGGCTCTGAATGGGGTGGATCTGTGGACACAAGGGAGCAGGAGGGGGTGAGTCGGAGATGTTGATGACAGTTCCTCTTCTGACAGCAACGTAGCTGCTCCAGGAGATGCCACTCCCCCTGCAGAGAAGAAATACAAGCCACTCAACACAACACCTAATGCCACCAAAGAGATCAAAGTGAAGATCATCCCGCCACAGCGTGAGTCTAAAGTGGGGAAGATGTACTTTGAATTAGGAGCAAACTTTTTTTTTTTTTTTTTTGGAGACAGAGTCTCACTCTGTCACCCAGGCTGGAGTGCAGTGGCACGGTCTTGGCTCACTGCAAGCTCCGCCTCCCGGGTTCACGCCATTCTCCTGCCTCAGCCTCCCGAGTAGCTGGGACTACAGGTGCCCGCCACCACGCCCGGCTAATTTTTTGTATTTTTAGTAGAGATGGGGTTTCACCATGTTAGCCAGGATGGTCTTGATTTCCTGACCTCGTGATCCACCCACCTCAGCTTCCCAAAGTGCTGGGATTACAGGCATGAGCCACCGCACCTGGCCAGGAGCAAACTCTTATGGGAATGAATGTCCCTGGGAACGAGAAGTTTTTTCCCTTCTCTTTTATTATTTCCCTCCATTTTCCTTTGATTTCTTGGTATCCCTTACTTTTTGTACCTCTGGAACTCCCGTTTCAGGGGTCACTTAGGAGTAATTTTAGAGATAAGATAGGGACGTGTGCCATTCTGTGACTGGTCAGGGGCACCTGGTAAGGTGATCTGTCATGTTCACAAGGGCTCACTTCGTCAGCTACCTGAGCTATAATTCACATCCAAAGCTATGGCTTGCCTGCCATGAGAAACCTAGAATAACAACAAGAATATCCTGTGTGAATCCTCCTGCATGTGCTTCCTGGTCCTCTTGAGCTTATCGTGTCCTAAGTTGAGGCAGGGTCTTCACTGGCTCATTTTATGCCTGGACTGTGTTTGCAGGTGTAGGATTATGAAGGAGGTCTGATGATGCCATTTGGTGCTCTTTCTTTTTGTAGCTATGGAGGGCCTGGGCTTTCTGGATGCTCTTAATTCAGCCCCTGTTCCAGGCATCAAAATTAAGAAGAAAAAAAAAGTACTGTCACCTACGGCTGCCAAGGTATGGGCTCCCAGAAGTAGGTTTCAGTGACAGAGTATAAAAGGTAAAGTAGAAGAAAGGGCACAGCAGCTAGGAGTTGTCGGGGAGGACAACAAGAGGCGTTTTGCCTTGGATATAGACTGGTGCAGGTGAGACATTGTGGAGACAGAGTCTTCCTTTATATAGGAACTGTTGGGGGACTGTGCCTGGGACCCTGGACTAATTGCCTTGCCCTTGGCTTTCCAGTCAGTTCATTAACTTCCTTTTCTTTCACAATAGCCAAGCCCCTTTGAAGGGAAAACGAGCACAGAACCAAGCACAGCCAAACCTTCTTCCCCAGAACCAGCACCACCTTCTGAGGCAATGGACGCAGACCGTCCAGGCACCCCGGTTCCCCCTGTTGAAGTCCCGGAGCTCATGGATACAGGTAATCTAGAAACTGGTTCAGTTTGGGGGGTTTTCTGAAAGGAGGGATCTGGGTCTGAAACCTCTTCTGCTTCCAGCCTCTTTGGAGCCAGGAGCTCTGGATGCCAAGCCAGTGGAGAGTCCTGGAGATCCTAACCAACTGACCCGGAAAGGCAGGAAGAGGAAAAGTGTGACATGGCCTGAGGAAGGCAAACTGAGAGAATATTTCTATTTTGAATTGGATGAAACTGAACGAGGTAAGAGGTCATTTCCTACGTAATAGGTGTGTTTAAGGGATTTTGAAAGGACTTGGTTGTGCTTACTTTCCCTCTTGCTTTTCTTCCCCTGCCGACAGTAAATGTGAATAAGATCAAGGACTTTGGTGAGGCGGCTAAGCGAGAGATACTGTCAGACCGACATGCATTTGAGACAGCGCGGCGTCTGAGCCATGATAACATGGAGGAGAAGGTGCCCTGGGTGTGCCCCCGGCCCCTGGTTCTGCCCTCACCTCTTGTCACCCCTGGAAGCAATAGTCAGGAGCGATATATCCAGGCTGAGCGGGAGAAGGGAATCCTTCAGGAGCTCTTCCTGAACAAGGAGAGGTGAGCAGAGTGGGGTTCGTGCCCTGGGATGTTGAGTGCTTGGACACTCCTGAGGGAACATGAGCTGGGGTAATTACGGGGTGGAGGTTAGAAATTACTTTCAGGGTCTGAATTAATAACTTGACTATCATTCTTTTTTCTCTCACCTGTGTTGTTCCTGATAGTCCTCATGAGCCTGATCCTGAGCCCTACGAGCCCATACCCCCTAAACTCATCCCCCTAGATGAGGTAAGTCAATGTTCTGTGATGATGGAAGTTGTGATGGTCATTGAATTCGGTGCATCTTTCATATGAGAATGTCTCTGTTCTGTCAGTCCTGATTTTTTTTGTTCTTCTTTCAGGAGTGTTCCATGGATGAGACTCCGTATGTTGAGACTCTGGAACCTGGGGGGTCAGGTGGCTCACCTGATGGGGCAGGAGGCTCCAAGTTGCCTCCAGTTCTGGCCAATCTTATGGGAAGCATGGGTGCTGGAAAGGGCCCCCAAGGCCCTGGAGGAGGAGGCATTAATGTCCAAGAGATCCTCACCTCCATCATGGTACGCACCCTCCTTCCCCTTTTCCACCTTCTGTGGAGCCTCCTTAAGCTCGCTCTCCTCACTGTCTCCCATTCGCCTTACCCCAGTTCTCCACATCTACCCACTTACCCCTAATCTTTGGCGCTATCTTTCGCCATGGTTGTTACCCTTTCTGTCTGTTGACTTTGCCTTCTTACATCCTCACAGGGTAGCCCAAACAGTCATCCTTCAGAGGAACTACTGAAACAACCAGACTATTCGGACAAGATCAAGCAGATGCTGGGTAATCTTCAGGGCCAGCCCCAGGGGACTGGGGGAGGAAGCCTGCAGTGGAGTTGGGGGAAGCAGGGTTTCAAAGATGCAGAAGAATACAGGGCTGTGGCCACTAGGCAAGAAATGGGAGGGGAAGACTGGACAGAGAGAGCATTGCTCTGCCAGGTTGGTTTGAGAGGGTCAGTTGGTTGCACCTAAATGGGAGATCATGCTAGTCTTCTAGAGTGCTCATGCTGTGTTACTCTTGTTTTCATTAACAGTGCCACATGGACTCCTAGGCCCTGGCCCAATAGCCAATGGTTTCCCACCAGGGGGTCCTGGGGGCCCCAAGGGCATGCAGCACTTTCCCCCTGGACCTGGGGGACCTATGCCAGGTAGGTGGTGAGTAAAAGGTTGGAATGGGCTTATCTGCTTAATTTCAGTCTGATAATAGTATAGGATTGACTGGAAGGTGGGAGGTGGTGGTTTAGGTTGGGAGATGGCAGTTCCTGGTAGCTGATACTGTCTCTCTTTTTTGTCCCCTTACAGGTCCCCATGGAGGCCCTGGTGGGCCAGTGGGTCCACGTCTTCTGGGTCCTCCACCCCCTCCCCGGGGAGGTGATCCCTTCTGGGATGGCCCGGGCGACCCTATGCGGGGTGGCCCAATGCGGGGGGGTCCAGGACCAGGTCCTGGACCATACCATAGAGGCCGAGGTGGCCGAGGAGGAAACGAACCTCCTCCTCCTCCTCCTCCATTCCGAGGCGCCAGAGGAGGTCGCTCTGGAGGAGGACCCCCAAATGGACGAGGGGGCCCTGGTGGGGGCATGGTTGGAGGTGGTGGGCATCGTCCTCACGAAGGCCCTGGTGGGGGCATGGGCAACAGCAGTGGACATCGTCCCCACGAAGGCCCTGGCGGTGGCATGGGAAGTGGGCATCGCCCCCATGAAGGCCCTGGTGGTAGCATGGGTGGGGGTGGAGGACATCGTCCCCACGAAGGCCCTGGCGGTGGCATCAGTGGTGGCAGTGGCCATCGTCCCCATGAAGGCCCTGGCGGAGGAATGGGTGCCGGTGGTGGACATCGCCCCCACGAAGGCCCTGGCGGAAGCATGGGTGGAAGTGGTGGACATCGTCCCCATGAAGGCCCTGGACACGGGGGGCCCCATGGCCACCGGCCTCATGATGTCCCTGGTCACCGAGGCCATGACCATCGAGGGCCGCCACCTCATGAGCACCGTGGCCATGATGGTCCTGGCCACGGGGGAGGGGGCCACCGAGGGCACGATGGAGGCCACAGCCATGGAGGAGGTGAGGATGCTCCCTGTCCCCCATATGCCTTTTGGTTGTCCCATACAAGCTTTTGGGGAGTGGGTGAGAGTCACTACTGTTGGTAGCTAGGCAGAACGTGAGGTACCCGTCTCTTTGATGTCCTAGTATGCATAGCAGTTCCTACTCTATGCCCTTCCCCCAAATCCCCAAGATTGTCTCTGAAAGACAGTTCTCAGGATGTCATGGACAAGGGGTGGTGAGGGTGGCATTGCCCTCAGCTATTTCCTGTCTAACTGTTTTGCCATCGTTCCCACAGACATGTCAAACCGCCCTGTCTGCCGACATTTCATGATGAAGGGCAACTGCCGCTATGAGAACAACTGTGCCTTCTACCACCCGGGTGTCAATGGGCCCCCCCTGCCCTAGGGACCATTTGCCTGCCCTGTTCACACAACCCCTGTGGACTGCAGCCTCGCTCTTTCCACCCTGTTATGGCTTCTGTGAGGCCCATTTTCCCTTTTCCCCAGCTGATGAGGAGCCGGCCCCCTCAGTTCCCACTTGCTTGGGTTCCTGGGGGTTTTCTGATCACTGGTGCGCATTGATGTACATATTTTCCTCCAGTCTGGGGAGGAGAGAGACTGGAAACGTTCCTGGACTGCTGAAGAGGAGACCCAGTTGGCTTCACTTTTTGAGAAGATTCGCCCTGTACCCCAAACCCCTTTCCAGTATTACCCTTAATGCTTGAGAACCTAAAGCTGGTTATCCTGGCGAACACCCCTACCCTTCTATTGCGGGTCCCCACATGCACACAGAACTCTGACACAGGATCAGCTGCACTTAAGAAATCATCCCAGCTAAGTTCATTATTCCTCATGGGGTGGGGAGATGCTGAAAGGGGTATTGTATATCCCACTGCACTGAGAGGGCTCAATCAGCTGGATTTGAGTTCTGGAACACACATCATCCCCACCCCTCCCCCAGCGTGGGCTCACCATTCTTAGTCCTTTCTCAAGTGGGACCTTCAACTTTCTGTGAACACCCAGTCTGCGTCCTGGGTCTGCTAGGTTCGATGATGGCGAACTCGTATCTGCATCCGGTGCAAGTTTTAGCTGGCAGAGGTGAGACCGGTGGTGCTGGTCTGCCTTTGCCAACTATAGCCAGTCTGGAGACTTGATAAAATACTTCAGTGAGACCAGCTTCTCATCAACTTGGGCCCGGCGTGCTGGGCCTGAAAGTCACACTACATGCACTGCCTTTGGGAGTCAGCTCACTCCCTGCTCCCACCTGGAACCTTGCCAGCGTGAAGGAGGCTTCCAGGTACTTCACCCTGTCAACCACCTCTGAATCCCCACCAGGCGCCTTCCTGGGTGGATTCAACAAGATGATTTTGCCCTTTCCCAGTTCTCTCCTTCACTTTGGCATCAGTTGTTTTCTATGAAAACAGTGGATTGGTTGGGTTTTGTGCAGGGTCTTGGGTTAGAGCCAAAATGGATTTGAGGATGAGTATTTTTTTTTTTGGTTTTGTATATTTTGTACATTAATAATAAACAGTGGAAAGAGAAGCAGCTTATTTAACCCCTAGTGTGTTTGGACTTTTTTGAGACGGAGTCTCGCTCCGTTGCCTGGGCTAGAATGCAGTGGTGCAGTCTTGGCTTACTGCAATCTCTGCCTCCTGGGTTCAAGGGATTCTTCTGCCTCAGTCTTCTGAGTAGCTGGGATTCCAGGCACCTGCCACCATGCCTGGCTAATTTTTTTGTATTTTTAGTAGAGACTTGGTTTCACCATGTTGGCCAGGCTGGTCTGGAACTCCTGACCTCGTGATCTGCCCGCCACGGCCTCCCAAAGCGCTGGGATTACAGGCGTGAGCCACCGCGCCCGGCCTGGACTGTTTTTCATTTTTTTTTTTTAAAAGCCATTACCACCTGTGTTAGATACATTAGTACAAATCTGTGGAATCTGATTTTTACTCCTCTGGAGCTAATGCTTGATCTAACAGTTGCTATTAAGTACTGGTGAAAAAATGCTTCAAAAAGTACATAAAATACTCTAGGATACAGAGTAGATCTCGGCCACAGGGCTCTTTCCTGGTTTTCATCTTTCTGAGTCTTCTTTAACACGCCTCGTGTGTGTTCCTAGAACAGTCCTATCCTGGCTATCGTGCCCTCTAGGATGTGTTCTTGGTCATCTTATCCACATTCTACAGATAAGGGAGGAAATCCTGAGGATGCTGGAGTCAGATAAAGGCCATTGTCCCAGCTCTACCTCTCTACAGCCTGGGTGACCTTAGCCAGGTTAGTGTTGGGTATCAGTGGCTCATGTCTGTAATCCCAGCACTTTTGGGAGGCCGAGGTGGGAAGACTACTTGAGCCCAGGAGTTTGAGACCAGCCTGAGCAACATAGGGAGACCAGGTCTGTACAAAAAATACAAAAAATATTAGGCATGGTGGCACATGCCTTTAGTTCCAGCTACCTGGGAGGCTGAGGCGAGAGGATCACTTGAGCCTGGGAGTTCAAACTCACAGCTATGATTGTACCACTGCAATCCAGCCGGAGCAACAGAGCAAGACCCTGTCTCAAAAAAAAAAAAAAAAAAAAAAAAAGCCAGGCATATTGGGTCATGCCTGTAATCCCATCACTTTGGGAAGGCGAGGTGGGTGGATCACCTGAGGTCAGGAGTTGGAGACCAGCCTGGCCAACATGACAAAACCCCGTCTCTACTAAAAATACAAACATTAGCTGGGTGCCTATAACCCAGCTACTCCGGAGGCTGAGGCGGGAGAATCCCTTAAACCCAGGAGGTGCAGGTTGCAGTGAGCCGAGATCATGCCACTGCACTCCAGCCTGAGTGACAGGGCAAAATTCCGTCACAAAAAAACAAAGGGTAAGTATAGACTGCTCTTCCCAAAGTGGCTCTGGCCAGGCATGGTGGCTCAAGCCAGTAATCCCAGCACTTTGGGACGCCAACATGGGAGGATCACTTGAACCCAGGAGTTCAAAACTACCCTAAGCAACATAGGGAAGCTCCATTTCCCCATTTCCGCGCCTGGCCTCCACTCTTCTTAAACCAGAAATTAAAGCTGGGCATGTTGGCTCACGCCTGTAATCCCAGCACTTTGGGAGGCCCACATGGGAGGATCACTTGAACCCAGGAGTTCAAAACTACCCTAAGCAACATAGGGAAACTCCATTTCCCCATTTCCGCGCCTGGCCTCCACTCTTAAACCAGAAATTAAAGCTGGGCGTGGTGGCTCACGCCTGTAATCCCAGCACCTTGGGAGGCCGAAGCAGTTGGATCACCTGAGGTCAGAAGTTCGAGACCAGCCTGGCCAACATGAAGAAACCCCATCTCTACTAAAAATACAAAAATTAGCTGGGTGTGGTTACTGGCGCCTGTTATCCCAGCTACTCGGAAGGCAGGAGAATCGCTTGAACCCAGGAGGCAGAGGTTGCAGACTGCACCACTGCACTCCAGCCTGGGCAACAAGAGTGAAACTCCATCTGAAAAAAAAAGAAAGGATACATCACTCTGGGGGGAGTGTGTGTGGCAGATATGGGGCAGTTGAAGATATTAACATGTTTTAACATGTGGGTTGAGAATGGCGGTTTTCAAGTCTGTTAGCATTCATCAGGATCATCTGAAGAGCTTATTAGAAAACAAATCTGGGGCCGGGTGCAGTGGCTCATACCTGTAAACCCAGCACTTTGGGAGGCCAAGGCGGGTAGATCAGGAGGTCAGGAGTTCGAGACCAGCCTGACCAACATGGAGAACCCCCGTCTCTACTAAAAATACAAAAATTAGCCGGGCGTGGTGGCGCATGCCTGTAATCCCAGCTACTCGGGAGGCCGAGGCAGGAGAATTGCTTGAACCCGGGAGGTGGAGGTCGTGGTGAGCCGAGATCGCACCATTGCACTCCAGTCTGGGTAACAAGAGCGAAACTTGGTCTCAAAAAAAAAAAAAAAAAAAAGAAAGAAAAAAAAAAACAAATTTGGGTTGGATGCAGTGGCTTATGCCTGTAATCCCAGCACTTTGAGAGGCCAAGGCGGATGGATCACCTGAGGTGAGGAGTTTGTGACCAGCCTGGCCAACATGGTGAAATCCCATCTCTACTAAAAATACAAAAATTAGTCAGGCATGGTGGCTCGCGCCTGTAATCCCAGCTACTTGGGAGACTAAAGCAGGAGAATCACTTGAACCCGGGAAGTGGAGGTTGCAGTGAGCAGAGATCACACCACTGCACTTCAGCTTGGGTGACAGAGCCAGACTCCATCTCCATCTCAAAAAACAAAAACAAAACAAAAAGAAAAAACAGACAGATTGGGGGTAGGGTCCAGCAAAATTCTGATTTAGTAGGTCAGGATGGATCCCGAGATATGCATTTCTAACAAATTCCCAGTTGCTGAGGCTGCTACACTGCCCTGGAATACGTGTCTCAGCTGTATTTCCAGCATTGGCCACATGAGGGGGCAACAATGTTTTATCAGTATCTGAAAGGCCTCACTGCATGTAGGCCCAAAGTGGGTAGTTTTACCTTCCCCTTGCCCAGGCTTGGTGTGTGTGGGCGGAGGTGTTCAGGTCAGTCTGTTGTTGCTGTGTGCACTGGGAGAAGACCTGAGAAGACATAATCTAAGGACCAGGCTAGGGCGTGAAATACCAAAGAAGTATACAGCTCAAGTGAAAAAACCCAAACATGTCACAACCTAGTGGTCACAACTTTGTGTCTCTTTCTGCTTCCATTTACTGCCTGCTTCTCACCTTTCTTCTATCTCCTGCAACAAGCCACAAGAACCTTAAAAGAGAGCTTAAAGTTTTTACTGTATTTTAAGAATAAGCTCGGCCGAGCGCGGTGGCTCACACCTGTAATCCCAACACTCTGGGAGGCCGAGGCGGGCAAATCCCAAGGTCAGGAGATGGAGACCATCCTAGCCAACATGGTGAAACCCCGTCTCTATTAAAAATACAAAAATTGCCAGGCGCGGTGGCTCACGCCTGTAATCCCAGCACTTTGGGAGGCCGAAGCGGGCAGATCATGAGGTCAGGAGATGGAGACCATCCTGGCTAACAAGGTGAAACCCCTTCTCTACTAAAAATACAAAAACTTAGGTGGGTGTGGTGGCGGGTGCCTGTAATCCCAGCTACTGAGGAGACTGAGGCAGGAGAATGGCATGAACCCGGGAGGTGGAGCTTGCAGCGAGCAGAGATCGCGCCACTGCACTCCAGCCTGGGCGACAGAGCAAGACTCTGTCTCAAAAAAAAAAAAAAAATTAGCCGGGAGTGGTGGCACGCACCTGTAGTCCCAGCTACTTGGGAGGCTGAGGCAGGGGAATCGCTTGAATCCAGGAGGCAGAGGTTGCAGTGAGCCGAGATAACGCTACTGCATTCCAGGATGGCGACAGAGCAAGACTCCGTCTAAAAAAAAAAGAAAGAATGAGCTCATTTTCTTTCAAATCATTTATGAAAATTCGGCCAGGCGTGGTGGCTCACGCCTGTAATCCCAGCACTTTGGGAGGCCGAGGCGCGTGGATCACCTGAGATCAGGAGTTCGAGAGCAACCTGACCAACATGGTGAAACCGTCTCTACTAAAAATACAAAAAATTAGCCGGGCGTGGTGACTGGTGCCTGTAATCCCAGCTACTCTGGAGGCTGAGGCAGAAGAATCGTTTGAACCCAGGAGGCGGAGGTTGCAGTGAGCTGAGATCGTGCCATTGCACTCCAGCCTGGGTGACAGCAAAATTTCATCTCAAAAAAAAAAAAAAAAAAATTCAAAGAAACCTGTTTTTTTTTTTTAGACAAGTTTCACTCTTTTGCCCAGGCTGGAGTGAAATGGCACGATCTTGGCTCACTGCCCCCTGGGTTCAAGGATTCTCCTGCCTCAGCCTCCTGAGTAGCTGGGATTGTAGGCACCTGCCACCACGCCTGGCTAATTTCTGTATTTTTAGTAGAGATGGGGTTTTACCATCTTGTCCAGGCTGGTCTCGAACTCCTGACCTCAGGTGATCCACCCGCCTTGGCCTCCCAAAGTGCTGGGATTACAGGTGTGAGTCACGGCACCCGGCCTACCTGTTCCTTTTTACTTACGTAAAAACTTTAGATTATATAAAGAGAAGATTTTCCTTGTTTTTTGTTTTTTTGCAGGGGGAGAGAGGTTGAACATTTCATTCATTTCACTACAATGATGTTTCTTCACCAAGCCCTCCCTGCAGGCACTTTTCTCTCTACCGTTTCAGTCTGTTTTTCCTTTCTGCTTCCATTTTTTCCCTCTAAAATACCCTTGTGACATTCAACGTTCTCTTTCTGTCAATCCTTCCCCAGGTGCAACGGGGTCTATCTTCAATTCAGAATCATTATCCTATTTCTTTCATTCCTACTCCTGGGCAGTAGACCTAATGTTGAAAAATCACAAAATCCTACTATCTTAGCCCAGTACAAATTAATGTTAGCATTGATTCTACACTTACTGCTGCTCAGCAAACCTTTTTTTTTTTTTGAGACGAAGTTTTGCTCTTGTTGCCCAGGCTGGAGTCCAATGGCATGATCTCCGCTCACTGCAACCTCCACCTCCCAGGTTCAAGTAATTCTCCTGCCTCAGCTTCCTGAGTAGCTGGGATTACAAATGCGTGCCACTACTCCTGGCTAATTTTTGCATTTTTAGTAGAGACGGTGTTTTGCCAAGTTGGTCAGGCTGGTCTCGAACTCCTGACCTCAGGTGATCCGCCTGCCTCGGCCTCCCAAAGTGCTGGGATTACAGGCATGAGGCACCGTGCGCGGCCTACTCTTCTTGATTCTCTGGCACCAAAGCTTGGGAAAAAGTGAGTCCCATCCACTGTGAGCAACATTTTCCCTTCCCTTCACATGGAAATATCTGAGTCTACATTATCTCCCTTCCATTCCATTCTTAGATGAAGAGAATCTTCTTTCCAAAGTAATATTGAGCTGTTCTCCTGGCATCTCTTTTCCCTGTCTCCCCACACCCACTATTTGCCACCTAGCAGCCAGGAGCAATTTTGTAAAAATGAAAACTGAATCAGTTTGCACTCCTGGCTAAACAGAACCAATGGCCTCCCATTGCTCAGCCTCTCCTCATCACATCCCAACCTGCTGTCTATGCATATAAGGCCCCGTGTGTATTGGCGCATGCTCAAGTTCTCAGCTCCAGCCATTCCTTGACCATGTTCAGCTCTTTTCAGCCTCAGGGTCTTTGCACATTTTGGTCCCTTCCCTGAAGGCTCTTCCTTTCCTACCTTCAGGCTTTGGCTTTAATGAGGCTGAGGTGGGAGGATAACTTGAACCCAGGAGTCTGAGACCAGCCCGGGCAACAAAGCAAGACCTCTTTGCTACAAAAAAATTAAAAAATTGGCTGGGCATGTTGGTGGACACTTGTAGTCCCAGCTACTTGAGAAGCTGAGGTAGGAGGATCACTTGAGTCCAGAGGGTTGAGGCTGCAGTGAGCCATGATTGTGCCACTGCACTCCAGCCTGGGAAACAGAGGGAGACCACATCTCAAAACAACAAAAAACACATTTCTACGATGTTTACTGTGTACCACATATGTGCATCACTTGTAGGTAATAAGCTGTTTATAAATAAAACAATTTAATTTGGTTAATGAAATTTCCATGCGCTACCATGGAAATGTTTCCCTTTCGTGTTCCATTTCTATGCTGCTTTTTGGAGGGCATACTTTTGCCCACATTTAGGTGAATTATTAATTCCATTAACAGCACATATGATTGGCTACAGGGATCACAGAAGTTAAAACATACACGGGAGGAGATAAAGTTTGTGGCCAGGTGCCGTGGCTCATTCCTGTAATCCCAGCACTTTGGGGAGCCTAGGAGAAAGGACTGCTTGAGGCCAGGAGTTTGGGACCAGCCTGGGCAATATAGCAAGGCCTCATCTTTAAAAAAAAAAAAAAAAAAAAAGAACAGAGAGAGAAATGAAATTTATGCCTGTGGCGGAAAGTTATTTTGGAGTACTTAAAGTACTTTTCTCACTTATGTTTGAAGTAGTGAAATTAGTGACCAAATATTTGAAATGCAAGCTGGTATTCACTTTATAAATAACATTCCTATATATTTTATGTATCATCTCAACTAGACTAGCGAAGTAAAAACTTAAAAATGCAAAAGTATAGGCCAGGTGCGGTGGCTCACGCCTGTAATCCCAGCACTTTGGGAGGCCGAAGTGGGCAGATCACCTGAGGTCAGGAGTTTGAGACCAGACTGGCCAACATGGCAAAACCTGATCTCTACCAAAAGTACAAAACTTAGCCGGGCGTGGTGGCACGTGCCTGTAATCTCAGCTACTTGGGAGGGTGAGACAGCAGAATTACTTGAACCCAGGAGGCAGAGGTTGCAGTGAGCCAAGATCACGCCACAGCACTCCAGCCTGGCAACAGAGTAAGACTCCATCTCAAAAAAAAAAAAAAAAAAAATATATATATATATATAATATGAAATACATATAACAAAAGCAACAGAATTTAAGGCACTTTACGTATTATTACACATTGAATCCCCTAATAACCCTGTGAAGTAGGTAACTACCACCTTCATTTTACAGATGAGAAAAGAGGTATCAAGAGGCTAATGGCTTGTCCAAGGTCACTGCCAAGACCCTGACTTTTCCCCCTCAAATTCCATAAGAGGCATGTTTCCTGATGTCTTTTGGTTTTTGTTTGAGACAGAGTCTCGCTCTGTTGCTCAGGCTGGAGTGCAGTGGCGCAACCTCGGCTCACTGCAACCACTGCCTCCCGGGTTCAAGCAATTCTCCTGCCTCAGCCTCCTGAGTAGCTGGGACTACAGGTGTGCACCACCACGCTCGGCTAATTTTTTTGTATTTTTAGTGGAGATGGGGTTTCAATATGTTGGTCAGGGTGCTCTCGAACTCCTGATCTCATGATCTGCCCGCCTCCCAAAGTGCTGGGATTACAGGCATGAGCCACCATGCCCGGCCTCCTTATTTTTAATTTAGAGTGTTCCCTGACTATGCAGCTATCTCCACACCAAAACTTCACTTCCTGTATGAAGCTTGTACTTGAAGTCCAGTATTATTTATTCACTTGGCTGGAAAACAATTTCCCCAAATTAAATGTCCAAACAGTTAAATCTTAGCCACACAGCTCTCCCTATTCCCTCTGGAACTGGATATATCTCCTGTCACTCCCTTCTCCCCAACCTCCACATCTGCTCTTTCCATCCCTATCTCCCCTAGCTAGTTTAGGATTCAGTTACCCCATTCCCGTAACAAAAGTTATGGGCTTCACCCTGCAGGTTTCTACAGCACGCCTTGCACATCACCACCTAATACCACTACCCACCATTTGCATTTTACTTTCCAAACCCATCTCCCCAGTCTAACTCTTAAGAAAAATGGCCACAGCAGCTATCATCCATTAACTCCCAAGTAGCTTGTTCTTCCCCCCAAGCCTGAGATCTGCTCTTTTCCTACTTCTGAAAAATGGCTCCCTGGTCCCTGATTAGTCAAATCATCATTTTTCAAGATCTACCCTCAAGTGACCCTGTCAAATAATCAGGCCCTGGATAATCTTTCCCTTTTTTGAGTATGTGGCAACTTAGAATCTAGAGTACGACATATTAGACAATTGATCAAATTAATTATCTATTCATGCTTACTTTTAAGTCTTCTCTAACCAGACTATTAATGAAGGCAGATCTTGTCTCTTCCCTTCTTATATACCCCACAGTACCGTACATTTTGGCTAGATGATTTAATAATTTTTGAGAGAATCAATACCCTGGTCCCTGGCCACAGGGCAGAGCACCTCCTCATTCATGAGATTAACTTGGACAATGAGACCCAAATTCTGGCTAGGCGTCGTGGCTCACGTCTATAATCCCAGCACCCCAGCACTTTGGGAGGTCGAGGTAGGAAGACTGCCTGAGGTCAGGAGTTCAGGACCAGCCTTAAGCAACATAGCAAGACACTGTCTCTACTAAAAATTAAAAAAAAAAAAATTAGTTGAGTGTGGCGGCACATGCCTGTAGTCCCAGCTACTCAGGAGGCTGAGGTGGAAGGATTGCTTGAGCCCAGGAGGTTGAGGGTACAGTGCACTCTAGCCTGGGCAACACAGCAAGACCCTGTCTCAGAAAAGAGAAAAAAAAAGAAGTTGGGCACAGTGGCTCATCCCTATAATCCCAGCACTTTAGGAAGTCAAGGTAGGTGAATTACTTGAGGTCAAGAGTTCGAGACCAGCCTGACCAACATGGTAAAACCCTGTCTCTATTAAAAACACTAAAATTAGCTGGGCCTGGTGGTGTGTGCCTGTAATCCCAGCTACTCGGGAGGCTGAGGCAGGAAAATTGCTTGAACCCAGGAGGTGGAGGCTGCAGTGAGCCAAGATCATGCCACTGCACTCCAGCCTGAGTGAAAGGGCAAGATTCTGTCAAAAAAAAAAAAAAAAAAAAAAAAGGAAAGAGACCCATGTTCCAAGATAGAAGGTATGAATCACTTTGCTTTTTCCTTGCGTGAAGGGTTGGGGGAAAGGAATCCTATGATCCTTAAACAGCAAACACTGTCAGCAAGACTGCAAACAAGATCCATTTAGTGGGGAAGAGGGGACTATTAAAAGCTGCTAGAAAACTGAATAAAGCAAATCAAGACTGAGAACAGTTCCAACTCCCATCAATCTCCAAACAGTGACAGGTCGGCAGCAACTCCTTTCCTTTATTTCTTCCCCTTGTAAAGGGAAATTCAAGTTCAGCAGCATTCCTTTCCTGCCCCAAGTCCTCAACCAGACAAGAGGCTGCAGGCACCAAATCTTGGGCTGGATAATGGCAAAGGCCTCAGAAGCTCACCTCCAGCTCTGAGCTTCAACAGCTGTTTGTACCAGTGAGTCAGCATTAAATCCACCAGAAAAGAACAGCACCACCCAAAGACTGGGGGGCAGCTGGGCCTGAAGCTGTAGGGTAAATCAGAGGCAGGCTTCTGAGTGATGAGAGTCCTGAGACAATAGGCCACATAAACTTGGCTGGATGGAACCTCACAATAAGGTGGTCACCTCTTGTTTGTTTAGGGGGATGCCAAGGATAAGGCCAGCTCAGTTATATGAAGAGAAGCAGAACAAACAAGTCTTTCAGAGAAATGGATGCAATCAGAGTGGGATCCCGGTCACATCAAGGTCACACTCCACCTTCATGTGCCTGAATGGTTGCCAGGTCAGCTGCAGGCCAGAGGCAGTCTTCAGAGGAGGGGAGACCACAGAGGACTTCTAGGCCACACAAATATGTCTCTCGGGAGACTTCTGGGAAGGAAAGCTTCACTCTCGGGGCCGGCTGACCATGACTTCACCCAGGGCCTCCAACACCTCCCGCTTGTAGTCTTCAAAGTCACCATCGATTTGGCTAACACTCTGCTCCTCCACCACCCACAGCTGGCAATTGGTTTCTGTGATGAGTCGGGCATCATGGCTGACAACGATCACAGCTTTGAAGAAAGATAGCAACAACAGAGGGCAGGAAGAAAGGAGAAAGAGGGGAATCAGAACATGAAATAAGGGAGTCCTAGGCCCTTCTGTAGTGAAGGACACTACAGCTTGGTCCCCATGGAGCAGGGATGAGGGCACACTCTCAGCTGACTTACCACCCTTGTATTCATTGATGGCCTCCCCTAGAGCATCAATAGACTCTATGTCCAGGTTATTGGTTGGCTCGTCCTACATAGGAGGAATTCCATGACTGAGCACTGCAACTCCCGTCTTCCATTACTGTTACCCTTATCCCTTTTCCCACAGCCCAGCTCACTCACCAAGATGAGGACATCAGGTTCCCGACAGGCCAGCTCAGCAAACACAACTCGCGCCTTCTGACCACCTGTAGCAAAGGAAGGGGAGGGCTGTCACACCTAGCACCTCACATTCTGAAGGCAAACCCTCAAGATGTGCCAGTTTGTGAGCTGAGGCTCCCTCATTCTCGGTTCCTCTAGGTACAGTTTGTAGACATGAATGATAAGGTGAAGGGCACCCTCCCTGGCCCCTGAAGTGGTACCAGAGAGTTTGCAGATCTGGATGGTGTGGGCGTGACTCTCCAGGCCGAAGCGGCCCAGGCACTTGCGGGCATCCTGGTAGGGCAGGTTGAAGCCCCGCTGCAGGTACTCAGTGGGCGTCTCCTCCATGCGCAGCTGCTCTGCATACTGCTGGTTGAAGAAGCCAATTTTCTGCCCGAGAAGAGAGGGAGGTGGTCGGTTAAAGTCACACTTCCTCCATCAGATTATCATTCCCTAAATCCCAATGCCAACTTACCAGCCGGTGGTTCTTTCTCATTTCCCCATGGGTCTGCAAGGGAAGACAAAGTAGTTAAGAGGAGGGCAAGGGAAAAAGGTGCTGCAGCTCCATACATCAACTTTTTTTTTTTTTTTTTGAGACGGAGTCTCGCTCTGTCCCCCAGGCTGGAGTGCAGTGGCGCGATCTCGGCTCACTGCAACCTCCACCTTCCGGGTTCACGCCATTCTCCTGCCTCAGCCTCCCCAGTAGCTGGGAATACAGGTGCCTGCCACCACACCCGGCTAATTTTTTGTATTTTTAGTAGAGACGGGATTTCACCATGTTAGCCAGGATGGTCTCGATCTCCTGACCTCGTCCATACACCAACTTTTCTGAAGGAGAGACAAACACCAGAAATGGGCCAGGGACAAGTATGCATAAGAAAAGGAATAGGGGCTGGGCACGGTGGCTCATGCCTGTAATCTCAGCACTTTGGGAGGCCAAGGAAGGCAGGTCAGGAGGCACTTAAGGTCAGGAGTTTGAGACCAGGCTGGCCAACATTGTGAAACCCTGTCTCTACTAAAAATACAATAATTAGCTGGGCATAGTGGGACATGCCTATAATCCCAGCTACTCAGGAGGCTGAGGCACAAGAATGGTTTTAACCCAGGAGGTGGAAGTTGCTGAGATCGCACCACTGCACTCCACCCTCGGGGACAGGGGAAGACTTTGTCTCAAAAAAGAAAAGGAACAGGGATGTTCCCCTAATATGACAAAGGCATGGTGAGCAAAGTAAAAGAGTTAAGGGACAAAAGGGGAGTTAAGCAAAATGGAGGACAAGAGGGACAAGCAGGAGGGACTAACCACAGCCAAAGAACACCTGCTCTCCATACAGCGAGACTCACGAATGGTACATCGTAAGGGCCTCATGTGGCAAGTTTAGTGTTTTGGGGAGAATCTAATAATACCTTTCTAAAGATCTAATCTCTGGATATGAGAAAATGGCCTCTCAACACTGCTAGAGAGAGCAGAAATGGCTACAAACTTTCTAACACACTAGATGGCAATATATTACAAAAGTTCAAATAAAATGGTAGAGTTTGCCGGGCGTGGTGGCTCACACCTGTAATCCCAGCACTCTGGGAGGCCGACGCAGGCAGATCATGAGGTCAGGAGATCAAGACCATCCTGGCTAACACGGTGAAACCATCTCTACTAAAAATACAAAAAATTAGCTGGGCGTGGTAGCACGCGCCTGTTGTCCCAGCTACTCGGGAGGCTAAGGCAGGAGAATCGCGTGAACCCAGGAGACGGAGGTTGCAGTGAGCCAAGACTGTGCCACTGCACTCCAGCCTGGGTGACAGAGTGAGACTCTGTCTCAAAAAAAAAAGGTAGACTCATATGAAATAAGTAATTGCATGGAAAAATGCTTGATATATTTGGAAAAATCTAGCTACACAACAACTCATATGACAGCCCATTTTTGTTAAAAATTATATGCACATTTGCAAAGAAAAAAGGAGAAAGATATCCACTAAAACATTAATACTGGTTATCTCAGCTGGGAGCGGTGGCTCACGCCTGTAATCCCAGCACTTTGGGAGGCTGAGGCGGGCGGATCACAAGGTCAGGAGTTCGAGACCAGCCTGACCAACATGGTGAAACCCTGTCTCTACTAAAAATACAAAAAGTAGCTGGGCATGGTGGGGCGTACCTATAATCCCAGCTATTCAGGAGGCTGAGGCAGGAGAATATCTTGAACCTGGGAGGTGGAGGTTGCAGTGGGCCAAGATCGCACCACTGCACTCCAGGCTGGGCGACAGTGAGACTCCGTCTCAAAACAAAATAACAAAAAAAAAAAACTGGTTATCTCCAGATTTTTCTCTTAAGCATTTTTTTTTTTTTTTTGACAGAGCCTCACTCTGTCACTTAGACTGGAGTGCAGTGGCACGACCTCGGCTAACTGGAACCTCTGCCCCCTGGACTCAAGCAATTCTCCTACCTCAGCCTCCCGAGTAGCTGGGACTACAGTCGTGCACCAACATACCCAGCTAATTTTTGTATTTTTAGTAGAGATGGGATTTCACCATGTTGCTCAGGCTGGTCTTTTTTTTTTTTTTAGACGGAGTTTTGCTCTTGTTGCCCAGGCTGGAGTGCAATAGCGCAATCTCAGCTCACTGCAACCTCTGCCTCCTGGGTTCAAGTGATTCTCCTGCCTCAGCCTCCCAAAATAGCTGGGATTACAGGCATGTGCAACCACGTCTGGCTAATTTTGTATTTTTAGTAGAGATGGGGTTTCTTCATGTTGGTCTCAAACTCCTGACCTCAGGTGATCTCCCACCTCGGCTTCCCAAAGTGTTGGGATTACAGGTGTGAGCCACCACAGTGGGCTCAGGCTGGTTTTTAACTCCTAAGCTCAAGTGATCTGCCTGCCTCAGCCTCCCCCAAAGAGTTGGGATTATAGGCGTGAGCCACCACGCCAGGCCAATTTTTTTTTTTTTTTGAGATGGAGTCTCGCTCTGTTGCCCAGGCTGGAGTGCAATGGTGCAATCTCAGCTCACTGCAACCCCCGCCTCCCAGGTTCCAGCAATTCTGCCTCAGCCTCCTGAGTAGCTAGGATATAGGTGCGCGCCACCGCACACGGCTAATTTTTGTATTTTTAGTAGAGGCGGGGTTCACTATGTTGGCTAGGCTGGTCTGGAACTCTTGACCTTAGGTGATCCCTGCTGGGATTATAGGAGTGAGCTACTGTGCCTGGCCCGTTTATGCAATTTTTAATCGTTCTATAAAAGACATATATTTCTTGTATAACCAAAACACGTGGGTGTGCCCCCTAGTTCTATCTTAATTCTCTTAGCTCTCCCCCCTGAACTGATCTAAGCTCTTTCCTCCTCTACTGCCCCTCTTAGGGAAATGAATCATCTATCATGAGTTCTGTATTTAACTCTACATTCTCGAGAGGCTCCCTGATTCCAGCTTCTGGCAAAAGCAGCTGTGTCTTCACATTTCTCATGCTCTCCCTCCTTGGCTCCAGGACTCACCGGTGTCAGCTTGCCAGTCAGCAGCAGGAGTAGCGTACTCTTCCCCACACCATTAGGGCCCACAATGCAAACTGCAAGATGGAAGACAGGTGGTCAAAGAGGTCCCCAGAGACTCTCCCTGTGGCTCCTGCTACACATCCCTGAGGCAACCCCGCCAACTCACTCCTTGAATCCATGTCGATGCCAAAATCCAAGTTCTTAAAGAGTGGTTTCTGTCCCTGGTAGCCGAATGTCACACCTGAAAGCCACGAAAAGAAGCAATTTATATTCTTTTCAGTCCCTGCAAAGTCCCTCTCATGTGCTGGCCTTGGAGAACAGGAGCAATCTCAGCCTTGGTGGAGAATTTAGGGTGCACATACATGCTTCCGGTGCTTCCTGTGGAGCAGCAGAGGCCCGCGGCACTCACCATGCAGACCCAGCACTGGAGGGCTGAGTGGTGGGGGGTCTGGAAAAGTGAAGCGCACAGTGTACTCCTTAGGGCGCTTCAGGAGCTCAGGGGCCTCCTGGGATTCCTCATCTTGGTTTTTCCGTCGGCATTTCTGCTGCTTCCGAGTCAGGGCTTCCTTCGTTTGTTTTTCCTGGAGAGGAAGAGGAAAAAAGAGAAACCTGAGCCCTGCACGGCAGTCCTTGAAATGTAGGCCAGCGTTCCAGAGTCTCCTTCTTCCTCCACTGCCAGGAGAGAACAGTGGCCCCCAGCCCAGAAGTCCCTCAGGTGCTCACCGCCTGCTTGGTGGACTTCCCGCCTGCCTTCAGCTCCTTCAGCTTTTTCTCTTGCTTCTCATACTGTTTCAGCAGTTCTTTCTGCTTCTGCTGGTACATCTTTTTGAAGGTCACTGGGGCAGAAGAGGGGACCAGGCATCAGTGGTTGCTCCTCTTCCCAGCAAAGGGACAACCAGGGACTGGTGGTGATGGGGTAGGCATCACTGTCTGGAATTCTGACAGGATTCAGTTTATCTAAATAGGCCCTCCCACTCAGGCCTCTTTTCGAGGTTCTATCTCTTCCCTGCATCCACACACAATCCTACTTACTGTAATTGCCCCTATAGTAGTGGAGCCGCTGGGCATCGAGGTGGATGATATCAGTGCAGACATCATCCAAGAAGCCCTGGTCATGGGAGACGATCAGCAAGGTCTTCCGCCAGCCCTGGAGGTAGCTGGGTTTCAGAGAACAGGGTGTAAGTGTCACAGTGGTCAAGTGAGAGAGAATTCAGAGGAAGCAGGCAGACAACGGGGGCTGGGAGGGAAAGGGGGGTCTGAATAGAGCTCCACTCACAGGCACAGTGGAGAAGGGCTAAAGGAAAACAGGGCAGGGAGGGAAGGGGAAGAAAGTGCAGAATGGGAACCAATGATGCAAAGGCCGTAACGCACTTATTAAGCCAGATGACAGCGTTGAGGTCCAGGTGGTTGGTGGGCTCATCCAGCATCAGCAGTGTGGGCTCCATGAACAGTGCCCTAGAGGGTGGGTAGCAGAGGGCAGGGTCAGGGAGAGAAAGATCCTTGCTCAGACAACCCCAGAGAAAACTCGGAGATAGAGCCTGAGACCATGAACACGCCTTCCCAAGCTCTCCTCAGAGAAGTTCTCGGGCAGGATACGGTTTAATTTTTTTGAGACAGGGTCTCGCCCTGTTGCCCAGGCTGTCGTGCAGTGGCACAATAAGGGCTCACTGTAGTCTAAATCTCCCAGGTCTAAGTGATACTTCTACTTCAGCCTCCAGAGTAGCTGTGACCACAGCGTGCGCCACCATATCCAGCTGATCTTTAAATTTTTTGTAGAGACAGGGTCTCCCTATGTTGCCCAGGCTAGGATATGTTTTCTTCCCCCTTTTGTGAAGATAGAGTCTCACTATATTGCCCAGGCTGGTCTCAAACTCCTGGGTTCAAGATAATCCTCCTGCCTCTGCCTTCCAAAGTGCTGGGATTACAGGCGTGACCCATTGCACCCAGCTGCAGGGTATGTTGATGAGAACTCACCACCAAGTAGGGAGAGAAATAGAGAAAGACCCTAAGTTCTCACAACACAGATAGTAAGGAGGGAGAGGTAAGCCTTGAGCCTCCCTATTGGCCTTGGAAGAATGAGAAGGGAAAGAGGAAAAGGGCCCCGGTGGTCTGAGGCTGGAAGGGAGGGCAGTGAGGTGAATGGCCCACCTGGCCAGGGAGACACGCATGCGCCAGCCCCCTGAGAACTTCTGTGTGGGTCGATTCTGCATTTCAGGGTCAAAGCCCAGGCCAGCCAGGATCCGCCGTGCTTTGGCCTCTGCAGCTGCCGCCCCAGTGGCCCGCAATTCCTCATACACCTGGGAGGAGGGAGAAGAGGACACACGTCTGAGGGTCCCAGGAACCCCCAAGTCTTTGCCCGTGTCCCCTGCGCCATCTCCTCTACCTTCTCTAGCCTCTCAGCAGCTGTGTCATCCCCTTGTTCCAGCTGTCCCTGAAGCCGCCGCTCCTCTTCCAGCAGCTTCAATCGCTTGGTGTCAGCTCGAAGAACAGCCTGGACTGCTGGTGTCTCATCTGCTACCACCTCTGGGAGGCAGAGGGAGAACAGTCAGGCAGCCTCAAGAGCCAAGAGTCTCATCTTTCTTTCCCTTCAATTACATTTCTGTTTTGCCTGACCCTGCCCAGCTCTTTGTACTTGTTCCAAATAAAACACTCTCAAGTTCCTCATTGACCCTCCCCTCCTTTCCTTAGCATCCCTTTCCCGGTCTCCAGTCTCCCTCCACATCCCTTCCAACTCCATAGCCACAATTTCTTCTATTCTTGGCTGGCTGGCTTTTCTACCCAACTGCCCACCCCACCAAGCCCCTTTTCTCCCCAGTGGTCTCACCCTGCTCACACAGCAACACATCAATGTTGGGAGGGATGCTCAGGGCTCGGTTGGCAATGTGCTTGAGGAGTGTGGTCTTGCCCTTGCTGGGGAATAAAAGCTATTAGGACCTGGCCACCACTGAGAAATCTCTTCTTTTCCCTCCAGGCCCTTTTTTGCCTCCAGCTCCCTCCTCTTCTCACCCATTGGGTCCTACCAGCCCGTAGCGGCGGCCGGCTACAATGTACAGGTCTGCATTGACGAACAGCTCCTTGCCATGAGCGGAGATGCTGAACTTCTCCAGCTGCAGCCATCAGGAAAGAGGTGGCAGAGGGAAGGGATGATCACATGAAAATTCTCCCTTTGGGACAGGAGCGGCCACTTTCTCCCTGCAGGGAAGCCCCTGACAAACCGCTACCTCCAGCATAATCCCCTTCCTCTCCCCACAGCCGGTCCCCGCCCTGTTCGCTGCCTGTAATGGGAGCCCCATGCATCCTCAGCTAGTCTAGTCTGTCCCACACTATTTTCTGCCAAGGGTGGACCCCACTTCTACTGGTTTTTCTATCTTCTTGCTCAAGTTGGCAGAACCTAAGGTGTGGAAAATGCCTCCAATCTTTCTTCCCACTGAACTAACCCATTCACACACCACAGCCACTCAGGGAAGATGAGAGAACTGGCTCTTCCCTAGGTAAGTGGACTGGAAGGGGCCCCTTGAGACCTTACCTTGATGTCAGATGCATTTTCTAACATGGCTTGGCGGGAGGACATCTCCGCCTGGGACACGGAGAAGTCATTTTCAGCTGCATTGGCTGCTTTTAATGAAGCCACTTGGCGCTCATACTCCATCTGAGAAGGTAGGAAAAACTACATTTGAAGCCACAGTCTACCAGTTTCCCATCACCATGAAACAGCCCATGCTGGCTGGGCATGCTGGCTCACGCCTGTAATCCCAGCACTCTGGGAGGCTGAGGTAGGTGGATCTCTTGAGCTCAGGAGTTTGAGACCAGCCTGGCCAACATGCTAAAATACTGTCTCTACAAAAAATACAAAAATTAGCCAGGCATGGTGGTGCCACCCATAGTCTCAGCTATTCGGGAGGCTGAGGTGGGAGGATCACTTGAGCCTGGTAGGTTGAGGCTGCAGTGAACAGAGATCACGTCATTGCACTCCAGCCTGAGTAACAGTGTGAGACCCTGTCTCAAAAAATAAACAAAAAACCCCAAAGTGAAACAGCCCATGTCATCAGACATTGAGATAAGGTTCACAGAACACAATTATTTTCTTACTCCGATTGTTTTACTTGGAGTAGCCCCCAAACCTTTCCTTCGTGTCCCCAATCGCATGTCCCCTAGTTGAAGTATTTAAAAATCCCCTACTTTTGACCGCTAAGAACCAAGGTCTTACCTGTTTTTTCAGCTTTTTCTTCTCCTTTTTGCTAAGATGAGCATAGGGATCATCTGCCTTAGACTCTCCTCCTTCCTCCTCCTCTTCTTCCCCTTCTCCTTCTTCCTCTGAACCCTGTGAGAACCCGGGGATGGTCAAAACTAGGGACTCCTGGCTGGGCGCGGTGGCTCACGCCTGTAATCCCAGCACTTTGGGAAGCCAAAGCGGGCAGATCCCAAGGTCAGGAGATCAAGACCATCCTGGCTAACATGGTGAAACCCCATCTCTACTAAAAATACAAAAAATTAGCCGGACGTGGTGGCGGGCGCCTGTAGTCCCAGCTACTCGGGAGGCTGAGGCAGGAGAATGGTGTGAACCTGGGAGGAGGAGCTTGCAGTGAGCCGAGATCGTGCCACTGCACTCCAGCCTGGGTGACAAAGCAAGACTCCGTCTCAAAAAAAAAAACAACAAAAAAAAACTAGGGACTCCTTCTAGAACTCAGATTTCACATCATCTGCCCCCTGTCCCTGCCCCAGCTCTTTCCTTCACTACTCAGAGTCCTAAAATATCTTGGGATCCTCTCTCATTCTCATACCCAGCCCCTGGTCTCCCTGAGGTCCTTTATTAATTTCTGCTACCAGGAATGGTACAAGACAAATGGTATGAATGTGTATTTATGAAATGTGACAACGCGTTATGTCCCTATAAATGTAACTCCCAATACAATGTAACTGAAGGTGGAGTAAATGGATTTCAAGAGTTTCATTTGTATAAAATGAGTTTCTGTGGTTTCCTTGTTAACATGCAAAGAAAAGATCAGGTAGCCGTCCGGGCACGGTGGCTCATGTCTGTAATCCCAGCACTTTGGGAGGCCAAGATGGACAGATCACAAGGTCAGGAGATCAAGACCATCCTGGCTAACATGGTGAAATCCTGTCTCTACTAAAAACACAAAAAATCAGCCGGTCATGGTGGCACGTGCCTGTAGTCCCAGCTACTCGGGAGACTGAGGCAGAAGAATTGCTTGAACCCGGGAGGCAGAGGTTGCAGTGAGCTGAGATTGCGCCACCGCACTCCAGCCTGGGCAACGGAGTGAGACTCCATCTCAAAAAAAAAAAAAAAAAAAAAAAAAGATCAGGAAGCTCTAGTGCACAGTCAGAGGAATCCAGCAGAATCACAGAATTAGGAAGTGCCAGACGCATAGGGACCCTAGAGATCTCCGGACTCCTCCTTCTATCACACAAAGGAGACAAGTGAGACCCAAGGGGATGGGAAGATGTATTCAAGGTCACACAGCCAGTGAAGGCAGAGCCAGGACCCAGATCATCTGAGATAAATTCCAGGCCCTTTCTTCACTGGATTAGGTGTTGCAAACTACAGCCCATGGGCCAAGGCTGACCTGACATTTATTTTTATATAGCTCCTGAACTTTATAAAAATAATTTTTGTATTTTCAAAGAGTTGTTAAAAAAAAAAAAGAATATGTGATAGAGATTGTATGTGGCCTGCAAAGCCAAAAACATTTACTATATGGCCCTTTATAGAAAAAGTTTGCTGGCTGGCATGCTGGCTCACACCTGTAAACCCAGCATTTTGGGAGGCTGAGGCAGGAGGACTGCTTGAGCCCAGAAGTTCAAGACCAGCCTGAGCAACATAGTGAGACCTCATCTCTATACTAAAAATAAAAAAATTAGCCAGGGGTAGTGGTGCACACTTGTAGTCCCAGCTACTCAGTAGGCTGAGGCAGGAGAATCTGTTGAGCCCAGGAGGTTGAGGCTTCAGTGAGCCGTGTTCACACCACTGCACTCCAGCCTGAGTGACAGAGTAAGATCCTGTGTAAACAAAAACAAAAACAAAAACAAACGAACCACCACCCCAACTACTCCCCCAAAAAAAGAAAAGAATAAAGGTTTGCTGGGATAATAACTATATCCCCAGATTCTAACTCTCCCATAAGGACCCTGGAAGCCCTAGTCCCTCATTCCACCTTGCCCCAACACCAAATACACACCTGCTCTGCCTTCTTGGCCTTCTCCTTCCCTTGTTTGGGAGGCTCCTTTTCCTTTATAATTTCTTCTTCTTTATCCTCCTCTTCATTGTCCAGAGCAGCGAATTTATTTTGAGGCTAATAGGGAAAAGACAGGTCTGATGAAATGTTTTTTTTTTTTTCTTTTTTTTTTTTTGAGACGGAGTCTCGCTCTGTCACCCAGGCTGGAGTGCAGTGGCGCAATCTCGGCTCACTGCAAGCTCCACCTCCCGGGTTCACGCCATTCTCCTGCCTCAGCCTCCCGAGTAGCTGGGACTACAGGCGCCCGCCACCACGCCCGGCTAATTTTTTTTGTATTTTTAGTAGAGACGGGGTTTTACCGTGTTACCAGGATGGTCTCGATCTCCTGACCTCGTGATCCGCCCACCTCGGCCTCCCAAAGTGCTGGGATTACAGGCGTGAGCCACCGCGCCCAGCCCTGATGAAATGTTTTAATTCCTGGGCCCCAATACCTCCTCCTGCTAGTTACTCTCTCACCTTAGCCTTCCCTTTTGACTTCTCTTCCTTTCCCTTTTTGCCCTTGAGTGCAGGCTGCTGTTCCTCAGATACGGCCTGGAGGAGACACACATACACATTACACACATACATACAAATTATTGTGCTACTTTGCTGTGTAATAAGCATTTCTAGAGAGTCTACTGTGTTAACCATACACATGCTCCTCCATTTACGACAGGTTGCATCCCGATAAACCCACCAGAAACTTAAATAAAAAATGATAGTTCTTGGCCGGGCGTGGTGGCTCACACCTGTAATCCCAGCACTTTGGGAGGCCAAGGCAGGTGGATCACAAGGTCAAGAGATCGAGACCATCCTGGTCAACATGGTGAAACCCTGTCTCTACTAAAAACACAAAAATTAGCTGGGCGTGGTGGCACGTGCCTGTAATCTCAGCTACTCAGGAAGCTGAGGCAGGAGAATCACTTGAACCCGGGAGGCGGAGGTTGCAGTGAGCCAGGATTACGCCACTGCACTCCAGCCTGGCAACAGAGTGAGACTCCGTCTCAAAAAAAAAAAAAAAAAAAAAATAGTTCCAACTTATGATGGGTTTATCTGGATATAATCCCATCATGAGTTGAGGAGTACCCTAAATGAGTATGACTTTCACACCATCATAAAGTAGAAAAATCGTACACCGAAGCAGAAGTTGGAGACCATCTGTATTGAGTGCTGCTGACGAAAAATGAGACCCAGAAAAACCCTACCCTCCAGCTTCAGACTAGATAGCGAAGAGATAACTAGGGAACGTCAGCAAGGCTAAGGATTATAAGTCAGGCAAGTGCGCCACCAGAGTGAGTGGCACTAGCACTGGAGGCTTTCTCAAGAGCTCAAATGGACATGGACTAAGATGCACACGCAGAAGAGTCACAAGTAGAAGAGCAAGGACCTGGGGCTTTGTTTCAGGTTCTGTGCTTAAAGCAACAGAATCACTGTAGATTTCTGAGTGATAAAAATGGCATGGTTTTTTTTGTTGTTTTTTTTTTGAGACTGAGTCTTGCTCTGTTGCCCAGGCTGGAGTGCAGTGCCTCAATCTCAGCTCACTGCAAATTCCACCTCCCAAGTTCAAGTGATTCTCCTGCCTCAGCCTTCCAAGTAGCTGGGATTACAGGCGCACGCCACCACGCCTGGCTAATTTTTGTATTTTTAGTAGAGATGAGGTTTCGCCATGTTGGTCAGGCTGGTCTCGATCTCTTGACCTCGTGATTCGCCCACCTCGGCCTCCCAAAGTGCTGGGATTACAGGCGTGACCCACTGTGCCCAGCCTGGGCATGTATTCTAAAAAGATGATTTTAACAGTATAAGTAAGACAGACCGAGAAGAGCTAGTTTAAAAGCGGGAAATTACTCCACCATGGCCAGAAGGTGCTAAATGGAGTGAGAGTGACTGATCGAGCCACCACTGTCACCTTATTGATCCGATTCTTCTCCGGCTTGGCAGGCTTAGGAGGATGTTTTTCTTCCTCCTCCTCTTCCTCACTCTGATCCTGAATCAGGGCTGCAAAAACATTACCACCCTAGAGAATGAAAGGGCCACAGAAGTCAGTAGGATGGTCAAGGTTGCATCCTTGGAGTCTCCGTTTACCACACAGATGGCTTACCTTGGTTTTCTTCCCTCCGCGGGGTTTTGGGGCGGGTACTGAAATGACAGGGGGAGAACATGAGATAGGAAAGAATTACAATGTCTGGCCCCCCAATTGAATCCAACTTGAAGATCAGGGTATGAGGTATCACTCTCCATGACTCATGGATTCCAGGTACCCATTCCCCCTCAGGTCATTTACCTTCATCCTCCTCATCACTGGTTGGCACTGAGAGCTTCTTAAGACGCTCCATGAGCTCTTTCTCTTCTCCATCATCATCCACATCCTTCTTCCGCCTGCCTTTTCGGGTATCTCGCTTTTTTTTTTGCTGCTGAGAGCAAAAGAACAGTGAGAAAATGAAGCCCAGGCCCCTGCTGTATTTCTGCCTCACAGAGGGTTCCCCATCAGCTGAATGGAGCAACATGGGCTGGAAAGGGGTTGGTGGAACCCAGATGCCTCCCAGGATTGGTGGGCCCTGTGGCACTTGTACCTGCTGTTGCTGTTGCTGCTGCTGCTGCTCCTTCTCCTTGAGCACTTTCTCTTCTTCCCCAGCCTGTTTATCTTCTACTGCCAGCTCTTCAAAGAACTATAAAGGGAGTTAAGCTACAGGTAAACATGTTTCCAAGAGCAATCCAAGCAGGCTGTGCTCTGCCACACATTGGCCCACTGGCCCTCCACTCCACCCTCACCTTACCTCCTGTCTCTCTCTTTTTTTTCTTTTTGTGGAGAATGGAGTGTGCAGGTCTCAAATTCCTGGGCTTAAGCTATCCTCCCACCTCTGCCTCCCTAAGCGCTGGGATTACAGGTGTAAGCCACCGTGCCCTGCCTATCTCCTCTCTTGACAAGATCTTTTCTCCTCCCTTGGACCTCCCACCTCCTTCACATGGCTATTTATTTAGCTTGGAAACATCCATAGTCATTTCTTATCCTCAACCCTCATTTTCTCACCGTTTTTTTGATCTTCTTGTCCTTCTTCCCTTTCTTCACCACTTTGTCTAGAAAGTTAAGCGGACATCGTGAATGCTTATCTGCAAATTCCAAAGCAGTCTGATCCCCCCTGCAAAGATCTCTGTAGCCTCTATCCTATTTTATTATTTTTCTAGCTTAACTATCACTCCTTAAATATTTGTACTGTCTCACAACTCCTGCAGAAATAATAATTCCCATCTCTATTCATTCATCCACTAAGTATCTACTAGACAGCTACCATGTGTCAGATATTGTGCTAGCGTAGGGGATTATAGCAATGAACAAGACAAATGTGGTCTCCTCTGGAGCTTGCAGGCTATAGGAAGAGAGATTTTTAAATAGGTAATTCCAGGTGTACTGAAGGTTCCAAAAGAAAAGGTAAAGCCTACTTGGTGGTGGGGGAGAGGCTGGCTTCATCTCTGGTGGCGGCCTCTCTAAGAAGATGGCATTTAAGCAAATAACTGAAGTAATGAGGAGTATGAGAAGTTAGTCAGACACATGGTGTAATTCCAGTGCTGTGCACAGGCCCAGCTGTGAGAAAGCACACACACTGAGAGACAGGGAAAGGTTTGGTATGGCTAAGCTTACAGACTGAGGGGAGAATGGTGCAAGGTAAGGCTGGAGTGAGGGCCTTGTAGCAAGGTTAAGGAATGGGGACTTTATTGGTATGATCACTTTCACACTTTAAAGTTTCACTCTGGCTTCAGAGTACAGCAAGAATCGGAGGGAATAAGCATAGTGGGAAATCCACTGGGGAGGCTGTCAGAGTAGTCTGGGTGGTGGTGACAAGCGGACATAAAGAAGAATTCATAGGATGGGGCTAGAGGTGGGGAATAAAGAGCACCCGGCCGGGCGCGGTGGCTCATGCCTGTAATCCCGGCACTTTGTGAGGCAGAGGCAGGCGGATCACTTGAGGTCAGGAGTTCAAGACTAGTCTGGTGAACATGGTGAAACCCAGTCTCTACTAAAAATACAAAAAATTAGCCAGGCATAGTGGCGGGCGCCTGTAATCCCAGCTACTCAGGAGGCTAAGACAGGAGAATTGCTTGAACCCAGGAGGCGGAGGTTGCAGTGAGCTGAGATCACGCTATTGTACTGCAGCCTGGGTGACAGAGCAAGACTCTTTCTCAAAAAAAAAAAAAAAAAAAAAAAAAAAAAAAAGAGCACTCAGAGATGACTCCTGTGTTTTTAGCTGGCAAAATTAGCTGGGCTAAGTGGTACCATTTATTAATTAAGGAGGCAGTGGAAGAGAAGGTCTTATAGGAAGGAAGAAGATATTATAAATTCAATTTGGGAGATATGTGTAGATACACACACATGTATACAACACACACACACCCTCCTTTTTTTTTTTTTTTTTTTAAGAGACAGGGTCTTGCTCTGTCACCCAGGCTGGAATGCAGTGGCATGATCATAACTCACTGTAACCTTAAATTCCTAGGCTTAGGTGATCCTCCCACTTTAGCCTCCTGAGTAGCTAGGACTACAGGCAAGCGCCACCATGCCTGCCTAATTAAAAAAATAATAATTTTTAGAGAGGAGGTCTCACTATGTTGCTCAGGCTAATCCTGAACCTCTGGCCTCAAGCAATTCTCCTGCCTCAGCTTCCCAAACTGTTGGAATTATAGGCCTGAGCCACTGTGCCTGGCC